>NC_000010.11:85294610-85446125 GCF_000001405.40 Homo sapiens | reverse complement strand
TGTCACTTCTGGGCTGAGTTATTAACAGCTGTTTCTCTTTGTCCAGACTCTTCCTGGCCTGTGACCTTGGAGGTCATCCACTCAGCCTAGGTCCCTTAATCGTGGTGTGGAGCAGCATCCAGGCTGCCAACCCCATCCCAGACTCTCCTTGAAGATGTGGATCTACAACTGATGAAAATCTTTGTTGTGATAAGCCACTGACATTTTAGACATGTTGTTACTAATGCATAAGCTATTCATTTTCATGATCTTTCCTTTGCCTGGAATGTCTCTCCCTTTTTCTTTTCTAAGCACGGCAAACTGCTACATTTTTGAAAATACCCAGCTGTCATATTAACATCTTGTAGGGGATTTTTACCACTCTTTAGCACAATTACTTTCTCTCTTTACCCCCTGCAGCATCTTGCAGACACCTTCTTACTTTGCATTGCACTTATCTTCCTCTTGTGAGTCTGTGAGCCCTTTGGAGACCAGGACCATGTGTTATTTATCCTTCTATCCCTAGCACCAGCACAGGTCTGGCTCTGGGAGGGAAGTCGCACACCAATACTTGTCTGATTGAACT
The DNA here is from genome assembly GCF_000001405.40 of Homo sapiens. NCBI lineage: Eukaryota > Metazoa > Chordata > Mammalia > Primates > Hominidae > Homo > Homo sapiens. The sequence goes on along the minus strand of NC_000010.11, from coordinate 85,445,560 downwards.
TGGACAGGCACCGTTGTGTCTGTAATGAGATTCATTGAGACTTTTCCCCAAGGTCACACTCAGTTTCATTCATTTAGATCCTTGCCTCTAGAGTCTTCGTGGTCAGTAAGGCCTCTTTTGTGTTGCCTTAACATTGGGTCCTCTGGATATGTCCCTAGATGTTTAGAAAACTGCTCCTGAGGGTGGGTGGCTCCTTTCTTCTCTTTGGTTAGCTTCTTAATTTTATTAGATTGTTGAGTCCTAGAACATGCAGCAGTCTGGATTTGACTAAACCACACTGGAATATTAAAGCACGGGCTTTGGGCATGGATATGATCCCTTCCACCTCTTGCTATTGATGTTACCTCAACCAAGTCATATCCTCTCCCAGACACCTCCATCCCTAATCTGGAAGAATGATAACAAGCTCATTCAGGGCTGTTATGGGGGTTAAATAATATAGTCACTTAAATAAGATAGCCACTTTTCATTTTTCCTTACTAACTGACAAACTGCCAAGTAAGCATAAGAGAGAAAAAACATGTGAAACTCTCTGGGCACCTTCCCTTCTCCCTCCACCCCTGTCCAGGCCTGGCTGATGGAGAATGGGCAGTCACCTCTGCCAAGCCCACCATGGGCATTACCACTCACGCTGTTGGGGGAAGCCCCACAATTCCACTGTAGGGTGCTGATGGGGAGGCTGCTGGCTGATGCACACATGGCTGCCTGCCGCAGACACATACATTCTATGTCAGCTGTGATCTCTGGAGGATGCAGGGGCTGGATTTGTTTGAAGCCACCACTTTCCAGATCCAGGCCGTTAACTGAGGTCTAAGGATGGATCCTCTATGGGGTGTCTGTGACACAGAAATTACATAGTAATGGAGGCGTTTATATTTATTTTTTTCCTGAGGACAGGATCTAAAGCATTCGTCGATTTCTCAAGGAGTTCTATGACCCAGAAAACATGAAGGGATGGCAAATCCTATGTGGCAATCCATGACACAGAAGAAAGCAGCTTGGTCCCTGGCACGCTGTGGGCTCCAACACACATGAGGTGTGAGAGGAGAGGGGAAAAGGAGGTGAGATGTGCGAGAACATCCCCAGGGCCCGGTGTTTCCTCTTTTTCCCAATGTGTTAGAATGGGGCAGTCAAAGGAAATCTGGGGGCAGGACTAATTGAACAAAGTCAGCCTAGGGCCATCTGTATTGCACCTCCTGGGTCAGGGCCTTTGCCCTGTAATCCCAATGAAGTCCCATGACTGATCTGTAAGGGTGGTGCCAATTAGCCACATTTTACAGGTGGGTGGAACAAGCCCAGGGATGCCAGACTACTTTTCCAAGGAAAACCAGCTTGTAGGTGATTGATCAAGGATTTTAAACTCAAATATGTGTGACCCGCATGCCAGAACTTCTGAAGAGGGAAGTGAGAATATAGAAGAATAGTCACCATCAGTAGAGGCCACTCAGGAATACTTGTTGAAGAAAAGAAAGGAAAAAAATATAGAAGAAAGCAAGGAAAAAAGGAGAAAATCTTAAATCTTAACAAATACAAGAGTTATGAAAGACCCAGGGACTAACATCACCATCTTGGGTAATATAGAAAAATGTTTTTTTCCTAAAAGATTATAAACATGTTTTCATCTTTTTTCCTTCTTTTCTAGGGAAACTTTCCTTCCTTCCTTCCTTCCTTCCCTTTTTCCTTCATTCTTTTCTTCTTCCTTCTTTCCTTCCATTTTTTTCTTCCTTTTCTTCCTTTCTTCTTTCAATCTTTTCTCCTTTCTTTTCTTAAACAGATGTCTCCTGAGCCCTTCTTTTGTGAAACACTGAGTAGAGGGCATTGAGGATGATACAGATGTGTAAACATTCCTAATGCCTCCCTGCTATCAAGAAAATCTTAACCTTTTAGCGTGCTTATATCTAAAGCCAATGGAGGAAAAAAAAACTTCCCAACAAATGAAAATCTAAATGAAAATTTAGGAGAATAATTGTACAATTTTTGGATGAGGGCATACTTTAGAGAAGAAAACTTATAATAAAAATACTATGTATGGCAAAATATATGATGTATTAATCAAGTCTCTTGCAAGTGAAAGAACAAAAGTGAAATTAAGTGAAAAGAAAATTTCGAGGCATTCATAGGTAGCTGAAAATCCAAATTGCATGTAGCACGAAAGGTCACTTTCCTGAATATGTCAAGGACTCCCACTCTTGATATGTTGTTTAGATAGATAATAGCTAAGTGAAATAAGATATGAAGAACACATTGCTGATTAACTGTAAATTGCTGTAACTTTTAAGGAAAATAATATCAGTGTACAGAGTGCAGCTGAAAGTATCTATATATGTTGACCTTTTGGAAGGTGATATTACAAACATGAGTACAACATTTATCACAGTAATGTTTGCAGTATTCAAAAGAGAAAGCACAGAGATAAAAAAAACAACCTAAATATCTACCAGAGGGGAATGGTTGATTAAGCCACAGAACATTCTTACTATCAAATTTTATGCTACAGTTAAAAGGGAAAAATGAGGTGCATGTTTGTGGGTCAGAGGGATTTAGCAGTCATTGACTACAAAAATCAAAGGGTTCAGTCATGTGAATAGCATCATCACACTTCTGTAAAACAATTAAAAATGAAAAAGGCTTTTATGTGCATATCTATCTATTATTTATCTATTTATCTATCTATCATCTATCTTCATATGATTAGAGAGAAAGGCAAGGATAGACACTGCAAATGCTGTTTAACTCAGGTGGGATTAGGAGATGGGGAGAAGATTCAATAATATTTTTATAACTCTGAATTTTAGAATATGGTAGAACTACTATGCATTATTGTTATTTTTAAATAATAAAACAATTTTTAAAAGGAAAAAAATAGACCATCAAATAGGGAGGTAAAATTCAGCATGCTCCTCTTCATTAGGAAACAGCAGGTAGCCGGCGAGGCCCAATCCTGTACAGAGTTGGTATTTGACAGAACTCAGTTTGGATTTTTAATTTTCACTTTTTGGGGTGGCTGCATTAGCTCAGGACCCATCTTACAGACAGGAAAGTGGACTGACAAGAGTGAGGAGATGTGCAAAAAGATGGAAAAATCACAGCCTCTTAAAATTAAGAAGAAATGAGAAAATAGACGATATGCTACTTGTAGTATAATTGAAAACCTGCCAATGTTAATTATGACTGGTGAAAAAAGGACAATTTTTATCTGTGTTGTAAATCAGCATAGTTGCTGAATATTGTTCACTGCCGCCCATTCTGTTTAGGGCAATTTATTTCTATTGCCCTATAGGTAAGTAAGCTAAGCTTACTTTCAGCAACTGCAACCAGTTGAGTCCTGATGTACACAATTAAATTAAAAAAAAAAACGTGAGACACTTGCTGAAGTGAGAAGACTTGGGGAATTTTTTTCCAAAGTGTAAATTAGCTGGAGAACACGAGTCTTGGATGGTTGTATCGGTGCCAAAGGATGAATTAGTTTTCTCAGATACTGCCGAGCCGCATAATAAAGGTTGTTTCACAGGCTTCCGGTTCATATGAGCTGCTTAATTTCAAACCCTGCCTGTCTCATAAGCAACTGGGTCATTAACCTTAAAAATATCAACTTGTTCATATTCATGTGAAGTGAGTTACAAGCCAAGGGACCCTGAAGACTCGGCAGGCATTATGGGTGTGCACATAATACTCTGTCCTCACACTTCTTCAGACCCAAAAGTAGGGAGATGCAGAGACAGCAGGGGGTGGCACACAGTAGTCTCTCAGTCAGATTTGAGTGAGTCCCGCGGGAGGAGAGAGGGAAGGCAGGTGTGGGAGGAGCAGGATGCCACAGTGGAAAATCCAGGGCATGGGCTGAGGCCAAAGCTGACCATGAACACAGACTGGGGAGGGTCCTAGAAATAAGGGTTCAACCAGAGCGGCATGGTTGTGTCCAAAGGACTTTGTGTGGGGAGAAGGATGGGAGTGTGTCTCCAGCTCTCCCCCTACCCTGGCCCCTGGTTCTGCAGGCCAGCCCCTCCATACTTTTCATGAAGAGTCCACAGCTCCACAGAAATGATAAATGCTTGAGGAGATGGATATTCTAAATACCCTGACTTGATCATGACATGTTCTATGCATGTAACAAAATATCACACATGCCCATACATATGGGCAATTATTATGCAACAATTAAAAATAATAATTCACAGCTCTCCTGGCCTGGGGAAAACAAACTAGGTCTAGGAGTCCCACATTCTTTTATTGACATTTTATATAAAGTCAATGGCCAATTATTGACTGTATTAGTCTCCCATAACCAAGTTCCACAGACAGTGGCTGAAGCAGCAGAAATTCATTCTCTTGTACCCCTGGAGGCTGAAGGGCTGAGATCAGGGTGTCAGCAGGGTTGGCTCCTCCTGAGGCATCTCTCGTTGGCTTGAAGATGGCCACCTTCTCCCTGTGTCTTCACATGGTCTTCCTTCTGTGTATGTCTGTGTCCTCATCTCCTCTTCCTCTAAGGACACCAGTCGTATTAGATTAGGGCCCATCTATATGACCTCGTTTTACTTTCCCATTAATTACCTCTTTAAAAGCCTTCTTTCCAAATATGGTCACATTCTGAGACATTGGGGATGAGTATTTTGGCACATGAATTTTGAGGGTTGGATACACTTCAGCCTATTTATTTCTTTTGGTATATTTTCCACTCAAATACCATCAACTATCCAGATAGAAATGTGAGTGTGCATATGTATATGTGTATATGTGTGTATGTATGTGTGCATATTTGTGTATGTATGTGTGACTGTAAAATGACTAGTTTTCTCCCTGATAATGCTTTTATCTCCCTACTTTTCAACTACACATGACAGCCCTCTGGGCTGTGTGCCTTCCAAAAGCATGACAATTCTATCTCTGGAAGAGCAAGTTCTCTCTGAGTACCTGCACATAAAATGGCTTTGAAACCCATTTCCATTGCTTCCCTCTGAGTTGGACAGAAGCACTGACTCCTCAAACAGGACCTGAAGTCAGAGTTTGTCTCTAGATCTGATTCTGTCAGGCCCCTCAGCCCCTATATGCGGAGGTGCAATTTATGAAGTGCTCACTCCATAGCAAATCCTTTGTCGGATCGTCGATGGAGTTCAGCACACTGGCCTTGTATGACTGCCTTTGTCTCTAAGGCACTGTAAATGCACAGGCATATTTGCATGTTGATTATTATATATCACTACATGTCAGGCATTCTAAATGTTCTGCAGAAGTGAATTCATTTAATCCTCACAATAACTCTATAAGACAAGGACCCTTGATAGGCCCATTCTACAGATAAGTAAACCAAGGCTCAAGGAAGCAGAATGACCTATCTGAGGTCAAACACCCAGCCAGTGATAGGTCCTGCATCTGAAACCAGGTAGCTCAGAGCATATTTATTCTTCACACAGTCTTGTGAGAAGGGGGCTGCTATCACCATCTTGCAAATGAGGAAACAGATTTATAGCTGTTTGGACCCAGGAGTGTCTAACTCCAAAGCCGTTTTTCTTTCTATTGTGCCAGCCTGTTTGCCTGGACACTGCCTATTCCCCAGCGTCTCGGCTAATCCTCCCTCCTGTCACACATCCCTTGTGAACACCCAAAGTCAAGCATGCCTGCTTCTTTACATCAATATTAAAGAGCACAGAGAGCTGTCAGGCCTATTTGGTGAAACAGAAAAGGCACAGGCTTGTTTCAAACCTCAGCTCTTTTACTTTCCAGCTTTCCGGTCCTGGCCAAGTTGCTTTCCTAAATTTTAGTTCCCTCATCATAAAAGTGGAGATAAAAAATAACTAGGTAATAGTGAGTCTTCAACATTCAACAAATGTTAGTTAATTTCTCACCATGTTACTGTTGAGCAGGGTAGAAAATTTTTTGCCAAGTGACCTCTGCTTCTCCCATCAGGAGACGACATTTACTTCCCTGCCCCAGAAATCTGGACTGGCCTGGTGGCTTGTTTTAGGAAAAAGAAAGTGATAGAGCTGACAGTGTGTTAGTTCCACACCTCAAAAGACCTTGCATGTTTCCACCTTTTCTCTTGAACTCTTACCATGACCATGAGAACAAGCCTGGATTAACCTGCTGGAAAATGAAAAACCACCCAGAGCAGAACAGTCATTCCAGCTGAGGTCACTGTAGATGAGCAAACCCCAGACAACTGGCCAGCTGACCACAGATGCATGAGCTGGGTTCAAGCTGATGACCCAGCCATCTTCTTGTTGCCTGAGAAATTCTATATGAGTGCTATTTAGGTCATTAATTTTGCTGTGCTTTGTTATGCAGCAATAGCTAACTAATACAATCATATATTATCAGTACTATTTAGAAAAGGCTCAAAAACATGATCAGCTTTATCCAGAGTAGTGTCCTTTCCCTTGTCTTCATGTGTGCTCTCATCTGCATGCTCCTGTTCTCCTTGTACATACATGAAAGGAACTCCACATTGGCTACTGCTGATGTTTCTAATGAGTGAGAGCAGGAAACATTTGTTCCCACGGGTTCAAATAAACTCTCTTTGCATATGCTTCTCGTTGTCCTTATGTCAATATTAGCTTATGGAACTAGAATCTTTTTTATGAGAGCTTTAGAGTGTGATTTTAGCAAAGAGACTAACACTTCTTTTGGCAAAGAGAACATAATTCACATGCCATTAAAGTGTTAGAGAAAGGGTCAGCTTCCTCCCAACCTGGCCAGTTCAGCAGGGCCAGGGGCCCACAATCATGATTCTGAGCTTATCCTTCTGTTTTGTGGCTACGGCCAAAGCACTCTGGTTACTGACCTGTCTGGATGGCCAAGGCATACCTCAAGTTCCCAAGTTCCTGTAACAACCATTGGCCTCAGATTAGTCTACAGAGCTGTGGCATTTACCAGGCCTGACTGTAATTATTGTGTGTGTGTGTGTGTGTGTGTGTGTGTGTGTTCCTGACATTATGTTACACAGCAGTGAGATTAAAAATGGTTGTACTTTATGGAGTCCTGAGTATTTATGACAGGTGCTTCTTACCTCAGTTGAAAGACAGGTCAGGAATTCCCACTAAAGTTATTTGGCTCCGGAGCACCTAACAGTCACAGCTATAGTAAGTCACAGCTACAACAGTCACAGCTATAGTAAGTCACAGCTATAGTAGTCACAGCTATAGTCACAGATATAGTAAGGTACAGGTGTCTTTGTGCCTTTTGATTCTAGCACAGTATCAATATGGTTCCCTAGTAAATGTCTTTTGTATGAACCTAAAACCACTGTTCATGAAGAAACCCTTCATTTTCTTCCCCTTGACCTTAAAAAATTTCATTTCTTTCAGAGTCCACTATAATTGTTAGGATTCTAGGCTGGGTTCAGGTTTCAGCTCCAGCCCTTTCTACCTGGATGATTCTATATAAACTCAACATTGATGAGTCCCATGATACAGGTATAAAAAACACCTAATGCTCTCTCCTGCCTTGTAGTGTTGTGGTAAGGAAGTACACATAGGTACTCAAACAACTGAATACATTATCAGGTGCCTAGAATACTGCTTGACATATGGTGGTGGGAGTGATTAAATAAATGTCACCTGTTCTTCATTTATACATCTGTTTATGTGACACTATCAGAGAAGTAATTACTTGTCATCTCTCATGACAAAGATAGAGGGATGGAAAAGACCTGGCCTCTACTGAAAAGTTTCCTTGTTGGGAAGGGGAAGGTGCTGGTATGAGCATGTTGTTGTCCACAGGGGCAATTGCTCCTGTCATGAAAACAGAGGTCTGAGAAAGCCCAGGGACAGCAGTGTCTAATTCCTCTTGGGTTCAGGGAATTGGGAGAGGAGTCTCAAGATAAGGCAGTTTTTGAGTTGAGTTTAGAAGGATGAAGGGGAATTTCACAGCTGAAAAGGGCAGGTCTTCCAGGAAGAAGGAAGGGCCTGCAGGAAGGAGCCAGGCTGTTGTAGGCCGACATGGAGAGAAGCTGGGCAGAAGGGCAGGCAGGCTGTCAGGAGAGAGGTGTTGGGACAGAGCTGAAAAAGAGACTGGGGACAGAAGGAGGTCCCCGAGCTCTTCAAGAGGGTCTTGTTTCCTTCAGCTGCCTGTGTAAGGGGGAGGGAAATAATGTTATTTTGGATGTTGGGAGCAGAATTCCACTCAGGGAGAGAATTGTGCTTGTTTAAAAACAAGCCTTAATGGGACTTTATGGATATGATTGGAGGCCCCGTGGGGATTGTCTGAGTGGGTTGGGGGTTTATCAAAGAAAGCTAAATGTTCATGCTTAGAGGAATTAAGGGGGAAGCGTGGGTGGGAGAGAAGGAGATTGATGCAGGGCAGAGGAGAAGCAGGTGAGATAGTGGGAGAAGGGAGCAGCAGGAGGTATTGTCCTGCTCAGAGGGATTGGCACAGTTGTGGGTGCAGGGGAAAGGGCGTTCCAAGGCTGCTGAGAAAAGGACGAGGTATGTGTGGTTCAGTTTTAGGTTGTTTGCTAAGCAACACTGCTGAGCCTCTTCAGGAAAAGCAGCTGCAAATCCAAAATGTCTGCAGGAATGGTGTTTTCCAGAAATCAAGGGACAGGGCCTGGGTTCCAGGTGAGAGATTAAGACAATCACCAAAGGAGGGGAGCATCAATATAAGCAGAGAGCAGAAACTGGGTGACATAATAAAGGAAGTCCCTGGGAAATCACAAAGAATGGGCAAATATGAAACTTCAGAACAGAAAAGCATATACTTTTGAACCAATTTTATTTAAATATTAAGGAACAGAGAGATGCCAGCTGTCACCCTTGGCTACATGTGTATGTCATATGTCACCCATGATATTTGCATGTATAATGTCTTTTTAGAATCCTATGTGCAGATACTACATCTTCAGGAGAAACAAGGATGGCTGATTAGGAGGATATTTTGAATTGGGGGCTTTCAATGTATCATAAATGTTCAGGGCCACCTTTCTTACTTGGTGATATTAGGATATCCCAACCTTTTGAGTTTTTTTCCAGCCTCTTTTTCACTAAGACTATAAAGACTATAAACTAGTCTTAGTGAAAAAGACTAAGATCATAGGAATGTCAAAACAGTGAAAGGGGTGGCAGGAATGTTCTAGAACACTCAGTGCCTCAGACACAGCTGAGCATTTAAAATTCAGGCATCACTGAACAGAAAAGCACCCAGAATATTATAAGCAAAATACAGGAATAGAAATGCATCCAGAATATTATAAGCAAAAGGGAGGTGCTTTTGGAAGGACATAGCAGTTACCTGAAGGAACCTGAGGAGTAACAGCCAGGTCTGGGAGGGAATGAACATGGAAATGAAAATTTAAGAAGCAAGGTCATTGCTTGTCTTCTAGGGGCCACATGGTATCTTGATTCTGTTTCTTCCAGCTAAATTTTTTGTTTTCCTTTATAAACAACTTCCTTCACCCCAGCATGCCAGGGGTGCCTCAGTCCTGCTCTAGTGAGGCTCTCAGTTCCAATGGGCTCCAGAAGCCTGCAAGAGCCCCTCCACCTCAGTCCAGGTTCCTGGAGCCTGAATCTCACTGGTGTTACTGTGGGAGGCTCCCCTTCCTCCAATCATTTGTCTCTGAGTGGAGGCAGATCACATGGTGTCCACATGGCTGCAGGGCCTCTGCTGCTGCACTATGGGCAGTTCCCAAAGAGGGAGATGCAGGCTGGAAGTGAACTCATGTGTGCAAAATGTAATGGTTTCAAAGAAAGAAGATGAATAGTAAAACATCCACCTGCCTGTTGGCCAGCACTACTGCAGTGTACTGTGTCTCCACAGCAAGGAGAGGACACTTTTAAAGCGCTGCATCTGTATAGCTGTATGCCAGACACTTTTATCTTCTCTGGCTTTCTTCCATCAGCTACTTTGAGTGGAAGACACAGCAGTCCCCATTTTATGATTAGCAACTCGTTTGGGACCTTATGAAGACATTCCACTTGAAGGTGCCCACTTTCTTCATGAACTGGAGAAATCTGATGGGCCTACTTTGGAGCCACTCAGCACCACAGGTCCTCCTAACCCCTGGCTCTGCAGGTCTCTTGAACATACTAGATGCATTAGGTGGCCTTGCCAAAGTGGCTGGTCCCATATCTGGTTATCTGCTGTTGCAGCAGCACTTAAAAGGGCCAAAGGGTCACAGATAGACAATCATCCTGTGAAGAGACTGATGGTGAAGAAAGGGCTTTCGGGAAAATAAATGGATCAATGAGAGGAGGTGGCTTAGACTACATATGCATGCAGGTGAATCCTGTGCACATAGACCCTGCACAGGAGACCCCTTTCATACATATGTGCACATGCACACCCCTACCCCACATACCTACACAACATATGTGAATATTTGTGTATATACATATATATTAGGAGCCCTGTCTATCTACAGTGTGTCAGACCAAGGATTTAATCTCCACTTTGCCTTTTGCCGCCTGTGGGATCCTGAACAAACCATTCTCTCTCTGACAGTAACTTTCTGCATCAGTTAAAATGAAAGTAATTATAGATTTTTAAAGATGTGAAAATAAACTAATATATGTAAAATACAGTGCCCGACACATATTTTGCTATAGAGAAATTCAAACTAAATATAAACTACATTTAAACTACGCTTACATAGACTCACGTACACATATTCATTCATATGAATGCGTGTGTGCATATATGCATTCCTATACACATTACATTATTGCATATATACAAGCACATACCAATACCAGTCGTGTTTACCAATACCAATACCAGTTTTAAATACCAATACACACAATAATTTTATACACATCTGTGGATAGCATTAACATTTATGCTCATTCATATATTATACATATAATCTTTAATATACACATTCATGAACATATATCAACTTGATCTCAGATACACCACACTATTAGACACACACATATATCCACAGATGCATACATACACATATTATATGTACATGTATGTATGCATACATACACATATTATATATGTATGTATGCATGCATGTATATAAACACACATTTTACACATTAAGAATTCATCTCTAATATTGAAAAAAGTCAAAATAATTCGCTACATAGCTCTGAAAATAACTCTCAGGTAGGTCAGCCTTATTGCCTCATGTATGGAAAACGGCTCCTGTTCCTTCTTTTAGAGAAAAATATGCATTACTTATTTATCTTCATAAGCCTATTGGTGGCAGAGGAGGACCTTGTTTCATGTCAGGCACACAGGAGAGATACTACTTTCCTGCCTGGGGAGAGGAGCCAGGTCCATGAAGATCTGGCCTATGTTTGGGATGCCACAGGGCAGCTGTGAGATGGGCTGTTCTGATACAGAAGCTCTATCTTCAGCGCTGGCTCACAAAGGCCAGGCTTGGGTCAAGCAAGGTGGTTTGCTTCTCTCATTGATACACCCTCAGGTGAGCTGCTGAAGAGCTGCAGTTTTTATTCCTGAGCCTGTGTGGGTTGTGGGAGGATGGGGAGGGCTGTGTGCAAGGCCCCAGAGTTCTCTCAATCCATCTGCAGAGCCCCCAGAGTCCTTGGGAAACTGAAATCGTGTTCGGTGGCTCTGAGGCAGGAACACAAGCCTGTCGTTGGCACTGTCTACTGCTGCCTGGGTGTCTGGGGCCTCCACACTCAGGCCCCCATGCCATGGCACAGGTCTGTGTGGGGTCTATTGGTTTGTGAGCTCACTTTGGAGACTCAAACGTGAAGGATTAAAGCTGCAGGCAGAGCTGGCGGGAGGCTGGCCTGTTGCAAGAAATGGCTGGTTGTGCTCCATGAGGAAGGACACCCTGCCACCTTATTTATATGGTCACACTTTCATTTATAAATTACAAAAGGGATGAAGAAGGAAGACTTTGATCCATCAAATTTATGGATTCAATAACTGTTGCCATTTCAGACAGCAGGGTCTCTGGGGAATATTTTCCCATGTATGCTTAGGTAGCAGAGAGGGAGAGACAAATGCTAAATATTCTGCTGTATTTATGAAATGTCAAATGTGCTTTCCGGGGTAATTGCATGAATATTGAAAAGGCTCACTGAAATTTATATCCTTGCAACTGAGTGTTTGGGGATGCTTCTTGCCAGCAGCCCCTTTGCAGACGGGACAACAGCCTGGCGCGAAATGCCCAAATGAAATGGGATCCAGCCTGGCCTTTCCTGGCCAGCCATTGCCAATGCAGCTGGACAACTTGGCCTGACTTCATGTACGCTTCCCATGCAAGAAGTCCATGTCAGGCCCAGTGGACACATTCAGCGTAACTAGGGGACTTGGTTAATGTTAAATATCCCATGATAATTCTAAAAAAAAAAAAGGTTTTACTGTAATTTTCCCCAGATCTGGTGGAATAGCATATAGCGTATCAGAATCTAGGTCTATTCTCTCGGAAGATAAACCATTCCTCTGTTTTTCCAAAATCCTAGCATGTTCTTTGACCAAGCAGGACATTCTTACCTCTGGCAGACAAACAGTCTCAGCATTAACTGAAGAAAAACAAGTGGCCTTTCCCAGCCATAGACCTTGAGTAGCATTAAAACATGGTGTGGTGGGGGTGGGGGGGGTGCATCGTAGTTGGTATTTCCCCCTTTTTTAAAATTTCAGTTAAGTCAGTTTAATAGTCTCATGAGTCATTCTCACGTTCTGTTTCTCTTTAACCACCCGTACCCACCCCATCATAGATCTGGCTGCTTTAATCTCAGAAATGTCTCTTACAACCCTAACTTGCTTTGCTCCCAGGGTGGCTTTTCTTCATGATGTCATAACTTTTCTTTATGATGCCATAACTTTACAGACACATCACCCACTGTCTCCCCATGCATACTGTGCTCTGTCTCCTCAGTGTTACTCATGCTGCCTCCATCCCTGGTGCCCTCTCTGTATCTCTGTGCCTTTGTGCACACTGCTTCCTCTGCCTGGAAGCCCTTCTTCCTTTCTCCACACAACACATCCCTCCTTACTCATTAAAGTCCCGTACAAATGCTAAAGGCAGCTGATCTTGTCAGCAAACTTGGCCACCAAATAGAAAATCTCCTTCTATGCCCACTAGTCATGGACAAAACTCAAAAGTTGCATGGGAACTTCAGTTATCGGGCAATGTTACCAGGGTTTGGGGCAGAAGGAACAGATAAAAGGGACAATTCTAAGGAAGATGATTGAAAGACTGACCCCAATGTGGAGAGGATGATTCCAGCACTACTCGTACTGCACTAGGTGAGCCAGGAGCTAGTAGGAAGGGTGGTGTGGAAGAAGGTCGGGGTGAAACTGGAGAAATTTTGGAAAAGAAAACTACATTAGAGGTTATGGGCTTTCTGAGGCCACCAGAGGTGAATGGGAGAAAAAAGAGTGATATCAGCTAAGTCATGTACTTTTCTAATTTTCAGGATCAGACAACTTGAAATCTGCCTTTGCTTTTATTGGGCAATCTGTTCCAGGGATCACAGCCCCTACCTGTAACTGTCACCTCTTTTGAGGTACAATTACATTCTTTCCTCTCATCCCATTGCAATGTTTCCATGCTGAGAGGGCTCCAGAGAGATGTAGGGAAGCTCTGCTAGTCTCTGTGCTGAAGCTCAGTGCCTGGCATACCTCTGCCTTTGATGAGGCTCTGGCACAGCCCTGCATCATTCTTCATTTGCCTGCGCATTAAAGAATGCCCCTGGTGGTCATCAGAGCGCCTTGTGTCAGAGGCTTTGTCTACACCTCTCTGTGCCTAGGTTGCAAGCACAGCTTTGGATTTTTTTTATCCTCCTCTCATGTACTGATGTTCAATTTGGGTGAGTTCCTCTTCTTAGCCTTATTCAACTGAAAAAAAAAAAAAAAGAACCTGATTTCTTTTGGCCATATGCTGCATTACAAAAATGCCTAAGGCCTTCAGTTTAGCAAATTAGATCCCAGATGAGGTTCTGAGCACAGACAACTTGTCAAATGGTGGGGTAAAGTTTACGTTTCAGGCTCACCTCTACTGCCCATCTGGATGATGCCCCAGTGACCCACCATGGCGTGTGGGTATTAAAATAATAGTAGAAATCTCAATCAGGAGGGAATTGTACAACTGGAAGGGGAAGGGGATGTACATATGTGTGAGAGTGTGTGTGTGTGTATTTACTCATACATTTATACATATATATGTATATTCTTGCATTATTTTAATATCTACATCTCATGATGGGTGTGTGATTTTATACATATATATACACATATATCATGGGATGAATATATAGATGAATACATGTGTATTATATATGTACATATATGTAAATATACATATATACACAAAGTATATATACACCCATATATAAACTATATATTAGTAAATATGTATATACACACATATATCACACACACACAAGCTTGGCTAAAATGTACCACTCTGAGCTAAACTTGAGCCATGACTCACTCTGCTCCCATGATAACAGTGAGTACTGTGAAGTTCAAACAAACAGAGAGAACCAAAACAAATAAAACTGGTCTGTATCATCTCTGCATGACCAAAGACTCTCCAGGGCCCTTACCACCAACATGTGGGGTTGAGGATGGAGGGCTTCTGGTGCCAGTGACACCTCTTGAACCTCTGTGAGAGTACAGAACACGTGTCAGAATGGACACGTCCCATTGTAATCTTTCCCATAATATCATGCCCCCTCCAGATGGGGCTGTAACTTTTCTCACATTTGCATTCTTAATGCTAACTATAGAACCTGGCATGCAGGTAGTCAATCTTTTTGTTGTTGTTGTTGTTTTTCACTGATAGAATGTCCTTGGCTAATCGTCATCAATTTTCATAAAATTTGGTCTGCTAAATTGCATGTGCACAGATTATATTGTGTTTTATGAAGAAAATTACAACATCATTTCTTCTTCCTGAATTTTGAGGAAAGACAATGAAATGTTTACCAGTCTAAATCAGCAATTGAAAAATTGATACATTATTGATACTTTTAATGGAATTTTAACTTGGGAGTCCAGCAATTAATTTTAAATGTCTTCTCTATTTATTAGATTTTGTTACACAATACAGATTCATTTTGAGTATATACATATTTATATGTATACTCATATATAAATATATAAAATTAGATTTATATATAAAATCAAAGCTCACCATGCATATTGGTTCCTGAGTATGATATCATCCAATATATTGGATGATCGTGGGATGGACTTGTTCTTCTGCCATTCTAAGAAATACCTTTCCCAGCCAGGCGCAGGGGCTCACGCCTGTAATCCTAACACTTTGGGAGGCTGAGGTGGGCAGATGACTTGAAGTCAGGAGTTCAAGACCAGCCTGACCAATATGGTGAAACCCTGTCCCTACCAAAAATACAAAAATTAGCTGAGCATGGTGGTGCGTGCTTGTAGTCCCAGCTACTCTAGAGGCTAGGGCAGGAGAATCACTTGAATCCGGGAGGTGGAGGTTGCAGTGAGCTGAGATTGTACCACTGCACTCCAGCTGGGGCATCACAGTGAGACTCCATCTCAAAAAAAAAGAAAAAGAAAAAGAAATACCTCTCCCACTCTCCCACCTATCTTGAAGTGAAAACATACTTAATCCACAAGGGAAGTCAGACCAGTCTTGACTGAAAATATGGGAAGAGAACTGTGTTCAAAGCCATACAGGGTGAGTATTCTGTCTGTGCGTGTGAGTAGAAGGCTCACGGCTCCCTGGTCTCTCTTTCTCTTGAACTTCCTAAGGTGCAAAACACTTCACCACCATCCTCCTGGGACTCTGCCCCCTACTTCTATGAATCTTTTCATTTTCTTCTCTCTTTCTGTGTTCCTCTTCCTTTAAGCCCTCCCTGTGTGGTGATCCTGCCTCCTAGTGCCCTGGGAAGCCATATACCTCCCACTTCATGAGAAGAGTTCAGTCCAGTTCTCAGGTCCTCTTATAAGGTTCATAGCCTGAGAGTTTATTCTCTACTCGGTTTCTGCTGGTGGCCAGGAGAGAATGGGCTCTGGTCTCAGTTCTGTTGGCTTTGAATGATCTCCAGACAGGTAAATTGGTGGTGGTGATAGGGAGTGGGAGAACTTTCAAAGTGGGCTGTGCATGAAAATATTCATTTTTATGAGAATTAATTGAATTTTAAATACCATCTACTCTAGTCTTTGTTCATAATTCTTTTCAACCCTGGCCTTATGATGCTAAGGGCACAGTTCTCCCCTCCTTATTGTAGGTTTCATTTGAAAAACATTCCAACGTTTAACTGACATGCTTAAACAACTTCTGTGAAATTGCTGATAGGGAAAAGGGAATAACCCTGATTTCCAAACTCAAACCCTCCCCACTACTCTTTTTCTAGAGCACTGTATGATTAACTCAGCATTCCTCATTGTGAATCAGACAGTCATTCACCTTAAGGCTATTGGCTGGCCCTCATCAAACATTTCAAATAAATCAACAGAAAGCTTGAAAGTCAAGATCCCCTTCCCATGCAGTGGCGGGGTCCTACACTGCTGATTCTATGCGGGTACAGTGAGTTCAGTTTGTGTTCTCAGAAGTGCATGGACTGTGAACATTAGCTGAGCTCAGAGAACAGCAGATGCATCTGTGTCCAGAAGCTGAGATCCATGCGGGCTCTCATAGAAAGTGCAGTTGCAGAATGGGCTTCCAGTTGGCAACCCAGGCTCCGTGCATCCCTTATCCCCAGTGCTCTGCACAATGCACTTCCTCAGCAAGAATCAATGAATGAATGAATGGATGCACAAATTAAAGCCTAGGACCCGGCTGGGCGCGGTGGCTCATGCCTGTAATCCCAGCACTTTGGGAGGCCGAGGTGGGCGGATCATGAGGTCAGGAGATTGAGACCATCCTGGCTAACACGGTGAAACCCCGTCTCTACTAAAAATACAAAAAATTAGCCGGGCGTGGTGGCAGGTGCCTGTAGTCCCAGCTACTCGGGAGGCTGAGGCAGGAGAAGGGCGTGAACCTGGGAGGCGGAGCTTGCAGTGAGCTGAGATCGCGCCACTGTACTCCAGCCTGGGCAACAAAGCAAGACTTTGTCTCCGAAAAAAAAAAAAAAAAAAAAAAAAAGCCTAGGATCCTAGTGGTGGTCCTATCCCAGGAGTTAGCTTTTAAGAAAATACCGTGGCAGTGGGAGTTGAACAATGAGAACACATGGAACATGGACACAAGGAGGGGAACATCACACACTGGGGCCTGTTGGGGGCCGGGGGCAAGGGGAAAGACAGCATTAGGACAAATACGTAGTGGTCACAGGGCTTAAAACCTAGAAGACGGGTTGATAGGTACAGCAAACCACCGTGGCACATATATACCTATGTAACAAAGCTGAACATTCTGCACATGTATCCCAGAACTTAAAGTAAAATAAAAAAAATTTATAATATTTCAACAAAAATCTAGTGAACAATGTAATTGAAAGAATGTGATTCACTTCATGAGCAGTTTGCTAGACCTCTCACTTTCAGAACCTGAATTTGTCTGGGAAAATCTGTGAGGAACAACTGTGACCACAAGATACCAGGGAACAGTATTTTGCAAACTTGAATATGCATATGGATCACCTTGAAGCTCCTGTTTAAATGTCAGTTCTGACTCAGTAGGCCTGAGAAGAGGTGTGAGATTCTGCATTTGTTTTTAACAAGGTTTTGGGTGATGCTGATGCTGAAGCTTCTGGTCACTTTGAGTAGCATACTTTGAGAAGCAAACCACACTTTGAGTAGCAAAGCTTCACAGGCAGCTTGCTACAGGGCAGTGTTTCTCAACAGAAGGTGGGAGGGTAGGAGATTTTCCACCCCTTCCTGAGGATATTTGAGGATGTCTAGGGATCTCTTTGGGTTCCATAACTAGACGGCTGCAACTGGTATCAGCCAGGGATAACACTAAACATCCTACAATGCACAGGACAGGGCTTGCCACAAAGAATTATCTGGCCCACAATGTCAACGGTGCTGAAGTGGAGAAATCCTAATCTAGGGGAAAGAAAAGAGGTTTGCAGTCCAGTGGCCCAAGGAGCAAACCATGATCTTTCCACTTAATTGCTGTAATCTTTACAAGACTCTCTGAATCTCTGTTCTTTGGAGAACTATCTAATGATGACCAGTAGAGTATCTGTATATGCAGTGAAAGTTCAATAATACTTGATATCAATTGAATGATTGTAGAAGAATAACTGCCTTCCTTGGAGACCAACAGAAAAGCAGTTACCATTATTGAGTATCTATTCTATATCCAGATAAATATTTTGGATATTTCAGAGATACTTCAGATATATACGCAAACCCAGAGCGATAGACAAGATAGCCTCTTGAATCTGTAATATTAGATTTCTAAGAAAAAACTGTTGCCTCAGTTCCCATTGATAGGCAGATATTGGCAGCAGAAGTGCTCATAGAGTATGAAATTATAATGGCCAGTTGATTGCAAGAGTCGGGCACGATGTTTTTCACCATCCCAATGGCAACAGCTTTTCTCATCAGCAGAGCACCCAGCTTTGACTTGCAAAGGCATGGGTGCAGTGTGTTCTACTACCGGTAATCTCGGGGCTGCCCTTGATTTGCTTTCAGAACAAGAGCAAAGCTAGCCCCTTAGGGAGGTCAGAGCAGAGGTGGTGGGGCAGCAGAAGGCTGAGGCTGATGGGCTTCTGATGCTGGTGTACATGCACTTTGGGGAACATCTGAGTCTTAATCTTTCCCATATGTTTCAGAATGCTTTCACCATGCATTCCTCTGCCATAGCAATAATTAGACTTCTCTGCCCAATGCATAAAGAGATGAGCATGCACACCCACACACAAACACACATACACTGCTACATCTATGTCTCAACAGATGAGTCTTTCTGCTGACTGTTTGTAAAAAGAAAAACAACCAGATGGCACAGCTGGAAAAAAATGTCTGTGTTTTATAGGGTCTATAAAGCTCTTTATCATCCCAGCAGGAATGGGCAAGGACCTGGCAGGACAGTGGGGTGCTCAAGAAGAATATTGAGCATCTATTTGACATGTCAATGAAGCTTTCCAGAATCATCTCCAGGCCTTTCTCTTGCCAAAGATAGACATGATAGTCTTGGGACCCAGAGATGGTCTTCTCCTCGTTCCTCCATTTTTTACCACACTGGTCTCCAGCTTGTCTGCCTGTAGAATTCCATAGAGACAATTACTCTAAAAGGTTATTATATTTGCCTGGATGATGACAGTTAGAATAATCTGTGTGATACAGTGATTAAACATATAGTGGTATTCATAGCTATAATTTATTACAATCAAAGGATACAAAACAAAGTCAGCAAATGGGAAAAGCACATGGGATGAAGTTCAACCTTCAATAATCTTCCCTCATTGGAATCATGCAGGATGTACTCAATTCCTCCAGTAACAGGTAAGTGATGTTGGCCGTTAGGAAAGCTCATTAGAGACTGAGCACCCAGGGCTTTTACTGGGAGCCAGTCATGTAGGCAGCCTCTACCTAGAATGCACCAAAACTCCAGACTTCAGAAGTAAAGCAAGTGTTCAGCATAAATGACATTGTTTGAAAAAAACAGCTTAGGTGTAGTGAGCCACTCTTATCAAGGAGTGATGGGAACCCTCTGAACTCTAAGTTCCTAGACACTAGCCGGGGACTTACCTTGCCTTTCCAAAGATAGCAGTTTAGACCTACAGTGTTAACTATTTTCAGTACAGCTGTGGATCCTGTACTCTATGGGACAGTTGGTGATTTAATGGGACCCCAGAGTTCTAGAGGTGTGACAAGGTGCCTTGGGAACCACATTCTCCCACAGAGGCTATGAAAAGTGGTCCTCAGCCATGTTTGCTGGAGCCTTTGAAGACACTGTTCTATAGGGGAGTACTGATCCTCCCAGTGATAATAGTTGATGCCAAAACAAAGACAATCTCTTCTTAAAATCTTCCCTGTCTGTAACATGAGCTGCTCCATTTTCTTCTATTTTGAATCAGGAACACTCAGGGTTTTATTCTTGTAAGTCAAAGAATCTTTTTAAAGGATAGCATGTAAGATATATATTTTTTCTTTTTGGCTTTTTGACTTAAAAGCTTGAAGGAGTTTTATCTTTGAAATTGAAAGCTCCTCTCCCTCCCTCTAGGATATGCCTTGGCATATGTTCTTATTATTAACTCTGTTGAACATGTGATGATCCCACTCAATTTCTTATCTCAGATCCCTTTAATATTTTTTTTCAGTTCTTCCAAGTTTTCTTCCATTAGATCTGTAATTATTAATGTCCATCTTTGGGGATACTGACCATCAGGGTCTGATTCTCTATGTTCCGTCTTGCCATTCATTTCCTAATCCACTCATTTATTTTATTTGGGAATTTTTTAACTCATTCAATAAACAGTCCCCAAACATCCCTACCCACTAGAGACACTTCCAGACACTGGAGATTGAAAGATAAGGTATATTGTTGGCCATTCAGGATATCAATAGTAAAAAGATACATGCAGCTGGGCATGGTGGCTCACACCTGTAATCTCAACACTTTGGGAGGCTGAGGCAGGTGGATCACCTGAGGTCAGGAGTTCAAGACCAGCCTGACCAACATGGTGAAACCCCGTTTCTACTAAAAAATACAAAAATTAGCTGGGCATGGTGGCAGGTGCCTGTAATCCCAGCTACTCAGGAGGCGGAAGCAGGGAGAATTGCTTTTACCTGGGAGGTGGAGGGTGCAGTGAGCCAAGATTGTTCCACTGCACTCCAGCCTGGGCAATAGAGCAAGACTTCATCTCAAACAAAACAAAAGAAGACCCATGTGAATCCCCAGAACAATAGGGCTTTCACAGTGGCTTGTCCACCATGCAGGGGACCAGAGAAGATAGGGGGATTTAGGGTGATGTAGGGGGCTGTCTGTAGACTGTTTTCTTTAAGTTTATCTTTTATGTCACCAGTTTGATTCTCTGAAGAGTCGCATTTTACTTATTCCAACATCATTTTTATTTGATTGGCTGTGGCGTCTGTGCTTTCACATTTTGCTAATAAGCAACAGGATTTTGTACTTTCCGATATGCTGATCATCACTTTTTTCTAGTTATCTTAAAGAGGTACATCTAAAGTTCGTGCCCAGCCGACATGGATCTAGTCCTAAAGGAAAAGTCTAT
Source organism: Homo sapiens (assembly GCF_000001405.40). Classification (NCBI taxonomy): domain Eukaryota; kingdom Metazoa; phylum Chordata; class Mammalia; order Primates; family Hominidae; genus Homo; species Homo sapiens. The sequence continues at coordinate 85,424,543 of NC_000010.11, read as the reverse complement.
GAGGAGGTCCCATTTTTCTCTTTCTCCTACACCCCACCCTGAATAGAAGCAGAACAGGTAGAGGCTTAGGTCCTTTTTGTTCATCTGTTTAAGTGTAGATACTACCTGGGACGGGGACTGGAAAGAAAGGCTCTGGGAGACTTGAGGAGAGAGACACAGAGATGTCTGTCCGGTTGCACCAAGGACCTCTACTTAGATCATAGGGGAATGAGTATGGTGAGCTGCTCCTGAAACCTGCCCCAGGGGCCTTGGTCCTCTTAGATGGTCTCCTGCATCCTTGGCTATAGCACATAACAGGCGAGGGAGCATATCACTGCTATCAAACAAGAGCCATGGCCGAATACAGAAACAGCTCCCTAGTGTGCTGGGAGTGGTGTGGCAGAAAGGAAAAAATGCTGTGGGACTTCCATTCCTGGGAGCCCTGGTTGTTCCCTTTCATTGCTGCTGCTGCTGTTAGGAACTCCTTGAGTTGGATGATTTAATAGTAATAATGATAAGCATTAAGGGGAATAGATTCCTTGTTATTCATCTGATTCTGCCATCTCTTCAGAATTATTTTTACTAGTTTATCTACAAGTAGAGGCAATTGAAAATTAATTTGTGTCATAAAAATAAAATCCTCTTAATATAATTGGAGCCACCAGAGGGTCTGCCTAGTCTAAAAACAATCCATCCCAAACATGGTTTCTGATGATGTTTGGGGGCGTTATTTCGGGACAACCAGGCAAAGAATGAGGTGGACTGCTCTCTAGTGAGTATTTAGCACCCATTAAGTGCTAGACTCAAGGCCCTCTCCCTGCGTTATTTTATCTGGTCCACAAAACAAACCAACAAATAAAATAACAGTATCCTCATCTGACAGTTGACAAAACCAAAGCAGAAGTAAAATTGGGGGAATCTATGCCTAAATAAAGGTTGGGAGTTTCATTGGTTTCTGATCCACTGTAACTGGAAACACTCATCTCTCAAAGGTCAATTTATCTCTCACCTGCGAGGGTGGTAGAATGTCATTCCCAGAGCTGCTCTCCATTTCCTTTACCTAGTTTTGGGTCAGTCTTTCTTCATGAGGATTTTATGAGTTATTTGGGGTCCCAGGAGTAAGAGCTTTCACCTGCAAACCGTAGCTTCTCCCTTGGCTATCCCATCCTCATCTGCATGCTAAGCTATAGAGGGTCAGGTGGGCTTTAGGATGTAGCCCTTGTCGTGAAGTCTCCACACAAGGTGCCAGTTTTCATTAACTTCTATTTTATTTACTTATCCAGAACCGTTTTTTTTTTCCTAGATGGTTTTAAGATGCATTAACATTGGGACATCTATGATTTCAAGCCGTCATTTGGTAATTATGGGGAAGGAAACATCTTTTTTTTTTTTTTTTTTGAGATGGAGTCTTGCTCTGTTGCCAGGCTGGAGTGCAGTGGTGTGATCTCGGCTCACTGCAACATCTACCTCCCAGGTTCAAGGTATTTTCCTGCCTCAGCCTCCCAAGTAGTTGGGACTGCAGGTGTGCACCACCATGCCCAGATAATTTTTGCATTTTTAGTAAAGATGGGGTTTCACCATGTTGGCCAGGATGGTCTCGATCTCTTGACCTGGTGATTCACCCACCTTGGCCTCCCAAAGTGCTGGGATTACAGGTGTGAGCCACCGCACCCAGCCAGGAAACATCTCTGCTGAGGTCAGCCCTGAGGATTGTACCAACAATCTTTCATCCTTGATTGCATGGACTCTCCCAGCTACAGTGGGTCAGATGCCCTGTGGATGAGAGTATGTTTATAGGACATACATGACATGCCGAAACAACATCCCTATTTCCAGTTCTGTTTATTTGCCATTTTGCCTTTCCCCCACTCTTTTCGTTAATGAATGTGTTAATCTGCCCAATAGAAAAATAGATGGAGGAGATGGCGCTAGAGGAAAAAGTAGAAGCAGAACATGTAGAGGCATAGGAGGAGAATTAGTGAAGTCTTAATCACACAGTTTTAGTTATTCATTCATCCAACAGTTCATAAATGGGGACCACCTGTTTGCACTAGATGTCATAATAGAGCAGTAGTTCCTCATCTTTTTATTTTTTAATGTTATGGATCCATTTTAGCTCCTGATGTCAGCAACAGGCAGCATCCTACTTTTCAAGGTGTTTATGATTATCTTGACACTAATATATGGGCCCTAAATTAAGAAACCACAGCTAGATAAATTCTAATAGCCCATCTAGTTCTTAGCTCCTATGACTCCTTTTAAATTTTAATTATGCAGAGAGAAGCAATGAGATTTCTAAGGAGGGAGTTAAAAAAAAATCTCTTCTCTCCATCGCCATCATTTTATTCACCTTTAAAAACCCAACCTTTTCAGCTGGACTCTATGACTGCTCTAAAGCGGCCTGCTTCAATATATGAAATTTAAAATGTGGGATTTTAGCTCAGAAAGCAGAGCTTGGTTTAAAAAAAAATGTGGGCTTAATAATGTAAAAAAGGCACAGTCAGGCCATGGTCTTCCTTGGGAAAGGCCTAAGGGGCAGCAAGGATCACACCTGTAGAGCGCTGTGGAGTTGAGGCGTGTGGGGGCGGGATCCACTCTGCAGAAATCTGTGCTCTCACAATCACAGTCCCTGCCACTCAGAGAGAAGAGCCCCTCATTAGGTGCATAGGCGTCAAAAAGCAGTAAAAAAGCAATGAAACTCTAGTTAAGGAGCTGCCCACTTTTTCAAGTACAGCCACATAGGCCTAGCCTGCTGCCATTTCAGACCTAATTCAGACCGTTCATCTGGAGGGGCGCACATCGTGGAAGTTTTAATTCCCAGCCAGAATATACCCTGATTAGACTCTTTCTTCTGCTCCTGCTTGGGCTTATTGAGGGGAAACTTTCAATTACTTGGGAAAGTACCGGAGGCCTGTGGAGGCGAGTTAGGGCGGTTTGGGGGTGGAGGTGGGGTTTCTCAAGAACAAGGCTGAGCACCCCCCCGAGCCTATTAATTGAGGATTCCATGTGCATGCTCACCCTAAGGCACAAGTCTGAGGAAGGACGAACGGAAGAGAACATTTTCCCATTCAAACCAATTGATTCCTCAAAAACAACATGAAAATTGAAGCTGAAATGTCCATGGAACTCCAGCTCATGAAAAGTTCCAGTGAGAGCTGTGGAGGAGATAGGAGACACCTGCTAATGAGGAGAGTTTTAAAAGCATTGCAGGCCTGAATTTTTAGTATTTTTTTTCTAAAACCTAGATGACAATTTCAAAAACTGGAGGGGGAAGTAGAAAAGGTTGAGGTGTTTTAAAGACAAAATTTCTTGCTGAGACAAACTGTCAAATTTTTTATTATATCCATTTCAAGGCAGGCATTTATTACCTTTCCAGTGACTGTATATCTCCCATAATGTTCTTAGTGTGGTTTGCCACTTAATTACCCACAGAATTTGCATTTAAACTGAGTTAAAGGATTCCATCTACTCTTTGGCTTCCTGCAGCTGTTTCCATGGTAACCAAAGGGGTCTCCCGGTGGCTGGCTGGGCTGAATATCAGGTTCTACAGGCCTGGAAGCATCTCCCCGCCCACTGTTGATCCATCTCCTTCGCTTCACTGAGGAAAGTCAATGGGAAGCGTCAAAGGATCCACTGACCTCTGTCGGATTTCTCTGGAAAGACTCCCAGCAAACAAGATTCCCTTATTTGATGAGCCCTTCAGGACAGGGGTCTGGGGTTGACTCTTCTCCATGCAGACCTACACAGACTGCTCCCCTAAGCAGCAGCTACATGAATTGAGTGGGCCTGGTTCCGGTCCCCTCTCTTGATCCAGAGTCCTCAGCACAGGTTGGAAGCCTGGGCGCCTCCTTGCCTTGAGAGCATGAGTGGACACTTCCTGGTGGGAAAGCAGCATGCCCCTTTTCTAGTGTTAAGGGACACCTCAGCATGATTATTAAAGACAGTTGCAGCAGGAGGTCACAGAGGGTCACAGAGGCAGGGCGCAAATTACAGTGAGCTGATTTCACAAAGTACCTGGACTCCAGGCCCAGCTCTGCAGCCTTGCACAAAGCTGGTTCAGCCCTCCAAAGCTGAACAACAGTGCAAAAGAAGGTGCATTGGTATCAAGTGATTTTCCTGGATCCTTTCAGCACTGAAAGCCTGTATTATTAAAGTCAGATTTTCACAAAAAGGAATAAATTGAAAACAAAGGTGCAGTATAATAGTTCTGGAAAAACGAAGTTGCTTGATCTTGTACACCACCACAGGGGAAGACACACAGCATGATGGGAAGTGGGACCCCTAGAGCAAGGAGATAAGAAGAGAACTGCAGAATTTTCTCTGTGTTTCTCTCCCTCAGCTCTGTGTTTTTCTCTGTGTTTTCTCTCCCTCAGCTCTCTGAAAAAGCTAAACAAGCTATGCTCACACCTCCAAAGGACCAGCGCTAAGCCCCTTAACATAACTCTTAATCCTTTCTGCTGACCATTCCCTGGGGTTGGGCAGAAGTAAAGTGCACATTCAATTCTGTGATATGACTTGTATTATAATATACCACCATAAGAGAACAAGCAATTCTGGTGGGGACGGTGAAGGGACTCCCACATCATATGGGCAATGGTTAGTGATTCTAACTAGTTCTTGATTATCCTGCCAGTCAACTTTCCAATGAAAGCAAATTTTTGAAGGTAAAAGTATGAGAGATGTCAGTCATCGTGTTTCACTATTAAAGTTCTTTTGAAAAATCTCCTTTGTTGGATTAGAACATTTAATCTGCTTTGTTCTCAAGGTTGGCCGTAATTGAGCATGAAATTATGCTGCTTTTTACTATACAGTTTTGTTTCCTCCTCTCATTGGATGCTACAGGGAACTTATTTTAAGTATCTTCATTGCAAACTCATTTGTGATTCAGCATGAATGTCTGGGGCACATGTGGGTATTGCATACCCCCTTAGGCATAGTTCTTCTGTGGGCTCCTGACTGAATTCCCGAGGGGAAATAGGTTCCTTGCACTTCTCTTGTCCTGTTTTCATCGTGTTCAAAGTGGACCACAGAATGATCTGTACCTGTCTTCCAGGACCTGGTAAGGGCAGTAATAATGAAGACAAAACTTTTGTTACTGGGATTTAGAAGAAGGCTTTCCTGCAAGCACCAAATGGCTATGCAAGGTAAAGTTGGGGGACCCCCAGGACCAGGGGGGCATGGAGGCAGTGCATCCTCTTAGAAACTGAGAATTGAACCACAGACTTGTACCTGCCACTTTTAGTTCTTCTCTTTCACATAACTACATGGATATAAAGCTTTCACCAGGATTTTCTGTTCTCGAAGCTTTAGGCTTCAGTGTTCTCAAAACTGACCTTAATGGCTTCCATTTTGGTTCTGCACTAAGGGGATTTAAAACAATGTAACCTTATTGAAGACTGGCAGACAGAGCCAGAAGATAGCATTTGCAGTTTTCTTTTGTTTTATTCCTCACAGAGTCACTTAACACTCTAGCCTCTGTAGGTGCATAGTCCCAGTCCCAGAGTATAAATGAACTTATGTGATTCACTTACATGTGTGATATGAAAGGATAAATTCCCAGCCATGAACGGAGGGGTCCCTATGGACTTCCAGTGATAAATTCATTCTCCTTATTAGGGTTTGTAACTTTTACTAGCCCACTCTTGAGTCCAATTACTCTGTTAATTGTTCCTTTTTTGTTGTTGCAAATAAAAGAAATGCAACTCAAAATATCTTTTTAAAAATGGGAAGCAATTTATTGGTTCATGTAACTGAAAACACTAGTGAAGAGCTGACTCTTAGAATGAATGGCTGGATCCAGGGGCTCAAATGGGTCATTTGGAAGAAATACCCCGGAATCTCCCAGCTCTGCTTCCCTGACTGCTCCCATTGCCTCCATGTCAGGCAGGCTCTTCAATTGAGATGATGAGATGGTAGTTGCAGTTTCAAGCTTACAGAGTACCTTCCTCCAGAAGCAACAGAAAGAAGATGAGAGGGCCTCTTTATCACTGAGCATTTGGGTTGTTGTTGAATCAAGTTGGGTTATCCACCCACACCTGATCCAATAATCATGGCCAAAGCCATGAAGAGCAGTGATTGGTTTAGGCATGGTCCATCTGACCATTCCCCGTGGATAGGCTGGATATAGTCCAATCTAAACTACATGGACAAGAAAAATCAGGGTGCACAACAAGAGATGTGATTACTCCAGTTCTTTTTGTTTCATCATCATGAGAAAAGAACTATTTTTCTTAAACAAGTGAGGCAACTGATACTAACTGTAGTAATATTAGAGTATGACACAGCTAATAGATCATGATTTGAACCCATCTGACTCCAAAGTTTATTTTTCTGATACTAAATTCCTCTGCTCCACTTTCCTCCTTGCTACATCACAGAGACTGAACTCAGAAATCTTTAAGTTTGGTTTTTCACAGTGCAAAACTTTAGTAATCTGAAGCTGGCATAATAATGATGATAATAATTTTTTAGTGGGTATCATGCTCTCTACATTTCTAGCTATGTTGCTTTCCATTGTTTTCTCACTTGTTGATGATTTAAGGCAAGTATTTACCCACTTTTATTATTATTATGATACTTTAAGTTTTAGGGAACATGTGCACAACGTGCAGGTTTGTTACGTATGTATACATGTGCCGTGTTGGTGTGCTGCACCCATTAGCTCATCATTTAGTATTAGGTATATCTCTTAATGCTATTCCCTCCCCCCTCCCCCCACCCTACAACAGTCCCCGGTATGTGATGTTCCCCTTCCTATGTCCATGTGTTCTCATTGTTCAATTCCCACCTATGAGTGAGAACATGCGGTGTTTGGTTTTTTGTCCTTGCGATGGTTTGCTGAGAATGATGGCTTCCAGCTTCATCCATGTCCCTACAAAGGACATGAACTCATCATTTTTTATGGCTGCATAGTATTCCATGGTGTATATGTGCCACATTTTCTTAATCCAGTCTATCATTGTTGGACATTTGGGTTGGTTCCAAGTCTTTGCTATTGTGAATAGTGCCACAATAAACATACGTGTGCATGTGTCTTTATAGCAGCATGATTTATAGTCCTTTGGGTATATATCCAGTAATGGGATGGCTGGGTCAAATGGTATTTCTAGTTCTAGATCCCTGAGGAATTGCCACACCGACTTCCACAATGGTTGAACTAGTTTACAGTCCCACCAACAGTGTAAAAGTGTTCCTATTTCTCCACATCCTCTCCAGCACCTGTTGTTTCCTGACTTTTTAATGATTGCCATTCTAACTGGTGTGAGATGGTATCTCTTCTCTGATGGCCAGTAATGATGAACATTTTTTCATGTGTTTTTTGGCTGCATAAATGTCTTCTTTTGAGAAGTATCTGTTCATATCCTTCGCCCACTTTTTGATGGGGTTGTTTGTTTTTTTCTTGTAAATTTGTTTCAGTTCATTGTAGATTCTGGATATTAGCCCTTTGTCAGGTGAGTAGGTTGCAAAAATTTTCTCCCATTCTGTAGGTTGCCTGTTCACTCTGATGGTGGTTTCTTTTGCTGTGCAGAAGCTCTTTAGTTTAATTAGATCCCATTTGTCAATTTTGGCTTCTGTTGCCATTGCTTTTGGCATTTTAGACATGAAGTCCTTGCCCATGCCTATGTCCTGAATGGTATTGCCTAGGTTTTCTTCTAGGGTTTTTATGGTTTTGGGTCTAACATGTAAGTCTTTAATCCATCTTGAATTAATTTTTGTATAAGGTGTAAGGAAGGGATCCAGTTTCAGCTTTCTACATATGGCTAGCCAGTTTTCTCAGCACCATTTATTAAATAGGGAATCCTTTCCCCATTTCTTGTTTTTGTCAGGTTTGTCAAAGATCAGATAGTTGTAGATATGCAGCATTAATTCTGAGGGCTCTGCTCTGTTCCATTGATCTATATCTCTGTTTTGGTACCAGTACCATGCTGTTTTGGTTACTGTAGCCTTGTAGTATAGTTTGAAGTCAGGTAGCATGATGCCTCCAGCTTTGTTCTTTTGGCTTAGGATTGACTCGGCAATGCAGGCTCTTTTTTGGTACCAGTACCATGCTGTTTTGGTTACTGTGGCCTTGTAGTATAGTTTGAAGTCAGGTAGCGTGATGCCTCCAGCTTTGTTCTTTTGGCTTAGTATTGACTTGGCAATGCAGGCTCTTTTTTGGTTCCATATAAACTTTAAAGTAGTTTTTTCCAATTCTGTGAAGAAAGTCATTGGTAGCTTGATGGGGATGGCATTGAATCTATAAATTACCTTGTGCAGTATGGCCATTTTCACGATATTGATTCTCCCTACCCATGAGCATGGAATGTTCTTCCACTTGTTTGTATCCTCTTTTATTCACTGAGCAGTGGTTTGTAGTTCTTCCTGAAGAGGTCCTTCACATCCCTTGTAAGTTGGATTCCTAGGTATTTTATTCTCTTTGAAACAATTGTGAATGGGAGTTCACTCATGATTTGGCTCTCTGTTTATCTGTTATTGGTGTGTAAGAATGCTTGTGGTTTTTTCACATTGATTTTGTGTCCTGAGACTGCTGAAGTTGCTTATCAGCTTAAGGAGATTTTGGGCTGAGACGATGGGGTTTTCTAGATATACAATCATGTCATCTGCAAACAGGGACAATTTGACTTCCTTTTTTCCTAATTGAATGCCCTTTATTTCCTTCTCCTGCCTGATTGCCCTGGCCAGAACTTCTAACTCTATGTTGAATAGGAGTGGTGAGAGAGGGCATCCCTGTCTTGTGCCAGTTTTCAAAGGGAATGCTTCCAGTTTTTTTCCATTCAGTATGATATTGGCTGTGGGTTTGTCATAGATAGCTCTTATTTTGATATACGTCCCATCAATACCTAATTTATTGATAGTTTTTAGCATGAAGGTTGTTGAATTTTGTCAAAGGCCTTTTCTGCATCTATTGAGATAATCATTTGGTTTTTGTCTTTGGTTCTGTTTATATGCTGGATTACGTTTATTGATTTTCGTATGTTGAACCAGACTTGCATCCCAGGGATGAAGCCCACTTGATTATTGTGGATAAGCTTTTTGATGTGTTGCTGGATTCGGTTTGCCAGTATTTTATTGAGGATTTTTGCATCAATGTTCATCAAGGATATTGGTATAAAATTCTCTTTTTTTGTTGTGTCTCTGCCTCAGTTTGGTATCAGGATGATGCTGGCCTCATAAAATGATTTAGGGAGGATTCCCTCTTTGTCTATCGATTGGAATAGTTTCAGAAGGAATGGTACCAACTCCTCCTTGTACCTCTGGTAGAATTCGGCTGTGAATCCCTCTGGTCCTGGACTTTTTTTGGTTTAAAGCTAAGAGAGGTGAAGATGATTTTTATGGTGTCATTGACTGAATGTTTGCATCACCCCCAAATTCATATGTTGAAGCCCTAATGCCTAATGTGGCTATATTTAGAGATGGGGCCTCTGAGGAAGTCATTAAGGAATTAAGTTAAATGATGTCATAAAGATGGTGCCCTGATTTGATAGGATTAATGTTCTCATAAGAAGAGTCAGAGCTCTCTCTCTCTCTCTCTCTCTCTTCCTCTCGGTCTCTCTCTCTCTCTCTCCACTTCCCCCACTCTAATCCGGCCCTGACTTGTGAAGACACAGCAAGAAGATGAGAAAGCAAGTCAAGAAGAGAGCCCCAGAAACCAACCCTGCTATACCCTGACTTGGGAATTCTAGCCTAACAAATTTATTTCTGTTGTGTGAGCCAATTAGTTAGCTATTTTTTTGTAGCAGGCTGAGCTGACTTATATACATGGTCCCCCAGTTAGTGAATGGGAGAGCCAGAATTAGAAACTGTGTCTCCTTTCTTTCATTTTAGAGTCCTTTCAACTTCTCCCAACTCTGTTTTCGTGCACTTTTTTTTCTTTTGCCAAGCACAAACCATCTAAGGAGGAAAGTGAGACCCTAAGTATTCAGAGAGCAGAATCATTTATTGGTCTGATGGAAAAAAATCATGGGAACTTGTCTAGAAGTAAATAGATGAATATGATCAAGGTTTGAAAACCACTGTGTTAACTGGGAAATCACATTTTCTATCACTGCAAGAAGTCCAGGTCCCCCCAGGCATCTCTGTTGGCCCTAATTTGTTTTTGTTTTTTCTGAAGGAATTTTATAGTACTACATGGAGGAAGATTTGTTAGCTTGTCCCTTGTTCAAGGGACTTTTTTTTTTTTTTTTTTTTTTTTTTTTTTTTGCAGCTTTTCCATTATCCACATCTTGGGAAATGGAGATGCCAATCTGATTGGTCTGAGATAGTGATTGGCTATGCTTACTAGTGTGCAAGGGTACTGATGCCCAGGTTGACAGTAGCATGTCAAGGATTGGGCAGTGGGGAAGTCTGTTCTGGGCGCCCATCATAAAGAGGTGCATTCTTTGCAGGAAATTTAAAAGCAATACTAATATCAACTAAAAGTTGGTCTGCTTTTTATTACCATAATGCCTTGGCAATTTAAAACCCGATATCAATAACAAAACCTCTCTCCCCATAGAGGTAACTGCATCTGTTGCCCTTATCTTTTCTATGCCATTGCAGGCAGGTGCTAATAGATGGAGAGGCCAGGGGGAGTTGGATAGAAATTCCCAATGCATCACATCTACTGAAGCTCTCCTCCCACCCGTTGGCCCTGCCCCTGCTTGCCTACACGTGTTCCAAAGGTGCACACTCAGCAGGGGGATTTCTACTGATCTATAATTGAAAACTGTCTGAGTTCCCTTTGGGGCGTTTGCCTCTCCCAAGCAACTGCCAGCCTGAATGAGCTCAGCAGTGGGATCCCCAGAGGCATCATAATGACCCGGACTATAAATGCAATTATTACCACTGCAGCACTGGGTAATAAAGAAAGAGAGAGCGAACATGAGAGTCAGAGAGGGGCTCTGAATCAGGTGCAGGAGTGGAGAGTGAGGAGGTGGTTGGGAATGTGGGTGGCTGCATCATGGGAGGAGGAAAAAAGATATTCATGGAAGGCCTGAGCTCCCTGCAGTCCAACTAGCACTTCCTGGATAAACCTTGCCTGTACCTCTCTGTCCTTTGCCTTTGTTACCAATCATTCCTCACATGGGTAATTACTTATAATTTGTAATATTATTCAGTTTTAGAGAAGTGCTAACATGCTTAGAAAAAAGCAGAGAATAGTGTTGGAGGTTGCAAGGAAAACATCTTCAGCCCATTCAACCCTGATCTGCTTTCCTGGACTTTATCTAGCCTTTGCAAACTTTTATTCCTTATGAAAAGCCTCCAATCCACATCCTGTGACAATGCCCTGCCTTCTGACTTAAGCCCAGGGGATGAGGATAGCATTCTCAAGCAAACTCAGAAATTGTGTCTGCACCTTGAGGACAGAGGGCCCATCTCTTGGCAGAGAGAAAAGGAGCTGGGTGCCAAGCTAAGACGGGAGATAGAGCGACAGTCCTCTAGATGGAAATTCTGCAAAGAGTGCTATCTGGGGCCTTCCTGCTCCTTTCTCTGACCTTGGGATGTCATTGTCCTGAGCTTTGGGGATCATCTCTGCAGGCCACCTTTAGTGAAACATTTGCTGGGCTTCTTTGATCTCCAGACAAGAGTGTGTTTCCTGAAATACTCACTGGTATCTGAAGATCACTGGTGTCATGTCTGGCTCCTGTTTCAGGTTGCATCTGAGATCAATCCCTGGGTGAGTGTGTGGTCGCAGATAGGGGCATTTTTCTCTGTACCATCTGTCGATGCCTCTAAGGCTGTGTGTATGGAACATCTCTGTAGACAATTCTGTATTTGCTTTCATGACCTCCTGCATGGAGCAGGTGTGGGAAGCATCTTGCCTGTGGCCCCACGGTCTCTCCCATGGGCACCACCCATGGAACAGTCTCCACAACCACTGCCATCCCTGGACATGTATTAATATCTTCTGGAATATGTCTCTGCCTCTGTGACTGGGGTGGGTATTTTCTATGGAACAGCTGCATGCTCCAGTTATCTTTCAGGATTTTCAGGAAATTATGGTTTCCTTGTAGCAAGAGGACCAACATTGTTTGGCCCTGGAGCTGTCAGTTCAGACTGGAGGGCCCCTGGGCATCCTCCATAGAGTATAGGGACAAGCAGCATTGGATGGAGAAAGCAGGAGGCAGAGTCTACCCTGGGCTGCATTGTTTGTAAATAAAAAGAACACTGCAGTGTTCTGAAAATCAATGTTTTATATTTGTATCCGTTTTCTTAGGCTGCCATCACAAAGTATCAAAGACTGAGCAGCTTAAACAACAGAAATTAATTTTCATACAGTTCTGGAGGCTGGAAGTCCAAGATCAAGGTGTGGGCAGGTTGATTTCTCCTAAGACTTTTCTCTGTGGCTTGCAGACGGCTGTCTTCTCACCATGTCTTCACCTGGTCTCCCCTCTGTGATCATCTATCCCTGGTGTCTCTTTGTGTGTTCAAATTTCCTCTTCTTATAAGAACACCCGTCATAATATTGGATTAGGCCCCACCCTAATGGCCCCATTTTACCCAAATTACCTCTTTAAAAGCTTTATCTCCAAATACAGTCATATTGTAAGGTGCCAGGGGTGAGGGCTTTAATATATAGATATGGGGGAAGCGCAATTCACCCCATAACTCTATTATCCCCATGCTCCACCAATTCTAAACAATTTCAGTAAGAAAATGTTCTCCCCTTCCCAGTTATTTTGTGATCTAAGTTATAAACAATTGATCCAGTTATTGTTGAGTTTTTCTACTTATCTTTCAATAAACATTATATTTAACAACCGTCATATTAATTTTGAGAAACACCAGTTATACATTTGGCCCCAGGCACCTATAGACTCAGCTACATGTTGTTATTGTCAGAGTAAGTTCTTAAAGTTGGCAGTCATTTATTCTTCATAGAATTAGAAAATGCTATTTTAAAATTGATAAGAAACCAAAAGAGAGCTCGTGTAGCCAAGACAATCCTAAGCCAAAAGAACAAAGCTGGAAGCATCATGTTACCTGACTTCAAACTATACTTCAAAGAGACAGACACATGGACAAATGGAACAGAATAGAGAACTCAGAAATAAGACCTTACATCTGCAATCATCTGATCTTTGACAAACCTGACAGAAACAAGCAATGGGGAAAGGATTCCCTATTTAATAAATGGTGCTGGGAGAACTGGCTAGCGGTATGCAGAAGATTGAAACTGGACCCCTTCCTTACACCTTACATAAAAGTTAACTTATTATGAATTAAAGACTTGAATGTAAAAGCCCAAACTATAAAAACCCTAGAAGAAAATCTAGGCAATACCATCCAAGACATATACACTGGGAAAGGTTTCATGACAAAAGCATCAAAAGCAATGGCAATGAAAGTAAAAATTGACAAATGGGATACTAAAGAGCTTTCTGCACAGCAAAAGAAACTATCATCAGTATTGGGAGAACCTGCCCCCAATATTTCAACGTAGGTTCTTTCTATTTTCCATAATTGTCGGCCAGCTGAAAAATAAAGAGAGACAGTACAAAGAGAGGAATTTTACAGCTGGGCTGCCAGGGATGACATCACATATTGGTAGGACCATGATGCCCACCTGAGTCTCAGACCAGCAAGTTTTTATTAAGGGTTTCAAAAGGGTACCGGGTGTCAGGACAGAGAGTAGGTACAAAGATCACATGCTTCAAAGAGCAAAAAGCAGAACCACTGATAAGGGACTAACAAAGATCACATGCTTCTGAGGGAACACGGCAAAGGGCAAAAGCAGAACCACTGATAAGGGTCTATGTTCAGTGGTGCATGTATTGTCTTGATAAACATCTTAAACAACAGAAAACAGGGTTCGAAAGCAGAGAACCAGTCTGACCACAAATTTACCAGGGTGGGGTTTTTCCCCACCCTAATAAGCCTGAGGGTTCTGCAGGAGACCAGGGCTTATCTCAGTCCTTATCTCAACTGCACAAGACAAACATTCCCAGAGTGGCTGTTTATAGACCTCCTCCCAGGAACACATTCTTTTCCCAGGGTATTAATATTAATATTCCTTGCTAGGAAAAGAATTTAGTGATATGTTTCCTACTTGCACATCCATTTATAGGCCCTCTGCAAGAAGAAAAATATGGCTATTTTTGCCCGACCCTGCAGGCAGTCAGACCTTATGGTTGTCTTCCCTTGTTCCATAAAAATTGCTATTATTCTGTTCTTTTTCAAGGTGCACTGATTTCATATTGTTCAAACACACATGTTTTACAATCAATTTATACAGTTAACACAATTGTCACAGTGGTCCTGAGGTGATGTACATCCTCAGCTTACGAAGATAACAGGATTAAGAGATTAAAGTAAAGACAGGCACAAGAAATTATAAAAGCATTATTTGAGAACTGAAAATTTCCATATTTTCCATATTAAGATGAAATCTTCACAATTTATGTTCCTCTGCTGCAGCTCCAGCGGGTCCCTCCGTTCGGGGTCCCTGACTTCCTGTAATACATCAGCACAAACAGGCAACCTACAGAGTGGGAGAAAATTTTTGAAATCTATCCATTTGACAAAGCTCTAATATCCAGAATCTACATGTAACTCAAAAAAATTTGCAAGAATAAAAAACCCATTAAAAAGAGGGCAAAGGACATGAACAGACACTTCTCAAAAGGAGACGTTCATGTGGCCGACAAACATGAAGAAAAGCTCAACATCACTGATCATTTGAGAAATGCAGATCAAAACCACGATGAGATACCATTTCATGCCGGTCAGAATGGCGATTATTAAAAAGTCAAGAAACAACAGATGCTGGTGAGGTTGTGGAGAAATAGGAACGCTTTTACACTTTTGGTGGGAATGTAAATTAGTTCAACCATTGGGGAAGACGATGTGGTGATTCCTCAAAGATCTAGAACCAGAAATACCATCTGATCCAGCAATCCCATTACTGAGTATATACCCAAAAGAATATAAATCATTCCATTACAAAGATACATGCACAAGTATGTTCATTGCAGTACTATTCCCAATAGCAAAGACATGGAATCAACCCAAATGCCCATCAATAATAGACTGATCTATTAAAGGAATAGTGGTATATAAACACCATGGAATACTATGCAGCCATAAAAATGAATGAGATTATGTCCTTTGCAGGGACATGTAGGGAACTGGTGGCCATTATCCTAAGCAAACTAATGCAGGAACAGAAAACTAAACACCACATGTTCTCACTTATAAATGTGAGCTGAACAAGGAGAGCACATGGACATAGGGAGGGGAAAAACATACATTGGGGCCTGTCAGAGGGGTGGAGCTGGGGGAGGGTGAGAATTAAGAAAAATAGCTAATGCATGCTGGGCTTAATACCTAGGTGACAGGATGATAGGTGCAGCAAACTACCATGGCACATGTTTACCTATGTTGCAAACCTGCACATCCTGCACATGTACCCTGGAACTTAATAAAGAAAAAAGTTGGCAGTCATTTGACCTCATTTCTACTGCAGCCGATCCCTCTCAGCCCTGTGCTACTCCAAGTGCCTGTGTTTAAGTGGTAAATTAGAAATTAATGGTAATTTTGGAGACAATCAAATAGAAGTTGAGTTACTTCATTGAAGTTTATGTTTGAATTTTAAAACAGTGAAACAGGTATTTTACACTTATCTACAAAAATTCACAATTAGTTGAAATTTAAAACAATATTTTCCCTGTCTGTGCTTTTCTTTCTGGTCATTACTATTACCATGATTTATATCAAAATGATTTATTTACATGGGAATATTTTTTAAAAAGCCACTGCATGACGATCTTTAGCTCTATTGGGGATTTAGAGACACCAAGTGAGGGGAGAACCAATAACTGGATCCAGGTTAAAATGCAGGCAGCCAATAACCAGAGTCTAGGCAAGAAACCTGGGATTCAATAGTGAGGTAGAGCCCTTTACACACACACACACACACACACACACACACATAAATATGCACACACGCACATAAATATTCATACACACAAATACACAAACACACACACAAATATACAAACACACACAAATACACACACACACACATATACACACACATGTACATCACATGCACATACACACACACACACAGATCAAGACAGAAGTCCACTGCCATGAGGCCATGTATTGGGGCCTAGCGGCTATACAGGGGCTCCATTCTGCACCCCATCTCATCGCAGCAATGAGATGAAGCCAGTGATCTCTGCTTTAGGAATGTGGAGCCCGAAGATCCCCATTGAGACTCACAGTCAGCCTCTGTGTAGCAAGGAGAACCAATTAGGGAATATGAGGAGTCCTTCATGTACCAAATCCTCCCAGCCTTCTCCTCCAGCTTTGGAGCACTCTGCCAAACATGGGTAACACACAGAATGGGGACAGGTCTTTGCCCTGAGAGAACTCTGTATGCTGGGGGAGTCAAAAATGTAAACAGATACAACTCACCTGCTGCCAAATTTCTGTCCCATGGCAGAGAGGAGAATGTGTGTAGCTTTGAGAGTGCCTGTCACTTCGAGTGTTAATTCCAAACTCCACAGAGCAAAGGTTGCTCCATGTCTAGCTGGGAGTGGTATCCATCGAGTCCAAACAGGCCTCCAAATTCGATGGGCCAAAGCTAATGTTGGAAATGTGATGCTTCCGATATTGGACAAAGAGTGGAGAGTTAAGGAGCAGAGTTCCTGGAAGATGACGGAGGAACTGTACAAAGAACAATTTTGTGCCTTGCCAGGAGCACGTGCTCTTTCCCTAGTAGTTGGAGGCTGGTTCGTATGTGCAAGTGCTGGTGAGGTCTGTTAGAAGCCAGTTGCCTCCACTGGTCCAGGACAAAGTGAGTTAGTTTAGTTGGGCATGCAGAAAGGACAGGGAAGGCACAGCAAAGAGCACTCAGGAAGCTTCCCAGGAGGATTCTTGAGATGAGCAGTTAAGGATAAACGTAACTTTAATTTGGAAAGAAGCAAGGAGAAGTTACGCATATTATAAGAAGAAGCATTAAAAAAAAGTAACATGATCACATGAGGTAACCTGAGTTAGCTTGCAGAGAACTTCAAACATTTCATGTGTAACTAATGTGGGGTAAGTGCCTGTAGGTGGAAATGGATACAAAAGTCTGAGGCCAGCCCTACAGTGGTATTCCATGATTCCTGCTGAAAGAGGGGGAGTCTAGGCCTTTAGAGTCTGTCATTGTGTTCGAACTCCCTGTTCTAGGTCAGTCCTTGGGGAGGGTGATTCAGGGCCCTGCCACCTGACTGCCCTGGGAATTGGGGCAGGACAGCTCCTGCGGGTGAGAGATCAGAGGCTCAGTGGGGAGAAAGCAAGGCAGGGAGGCAGGCTTCTGTAATCGCCTCTGTGGGGTGTATCCTGTGAAACCAGAAGGTAGCTTGTTAAAATGCAGGTTGAATTAAGCTCAAGGCATTATCTCCTTTCTGTCCTCTGATCCAGGGTTAACATTTGGCAATTATTGCAAGGGATAAGAAAAACCCCAAATGAGAGAGAAGCAGGAGGGTGCATGAGAGAGAAGCAGGAGGGTGCCAGGGACTCTTCACCTTACTAGGAAGGAAATGTGGGGGGATGAAGTCGAGCCTCGGGGAAGTGGATTCACTCCTGAGCAAATTAAAATCAGCAAATTGGCCAAACTCAAGGATGTGCTCATTATGTCTGCTTGAGACAGAGATTCTCAGAAACCAGAGCATTTACCAATGACCTCCAGAGATCGGCCAGGCCACACCTGCCTACTGAAAACTTTCACTTAAATTTGGCATCTTTTAAAAAATAACATCTTCCCCCCATGATCCAAATCATATATGTAATGTAGAATCTTTGGAAAATAGAAAAAAGACCCAAATCTTCCATAAATAATGCCTCACTCATCAATTACCAGGGTTAATATTCTGGTTTTAATCTTTCCAATCCTTTTACACACACACAATCACTCCCTTCATACTTCTGGTTTTACCAATATAGTAGGATGATCCTATTTGGAAATCTGATTTTTAGCATTGATTAACAATCTATTCATTTATAAAGCATGTGTGAATGCCCCCTTTGTGTAGGCCTCTCCAGCCCTGGGGATGCAGTGGTGATTAATAGTTCCCATGTCCTCCTAGAACTGACAGGGCACAGAGGGAGACAGCAGCCAGGAAACTTAACATTAGAGCTTACAGTAAAGTATTCTGATGAGGAAAAAGTTCAGAAGCAAAGACTAATATAGCTGGAGTGCAGCCTGAGACCAGAGGGTTTGGGAACATGGTGGCAGCCAGAATAGTGGCCTCAGTGAAGCGGATAGCAACCCTGTAGGCCTTGGTGTGGGAAGGACCTTGGTATGCAGGAGGGACTGGCGGAGGGCAGTAGGGTGGAAACAGAAGAAATTAAGAAGTCAAATTGGATAAGAAGAATAGGGTCTTTTAAGCAAAAGATAATTTTTACTTTAAATAAAGGAGGAAGCCATGAATGGATTTTAAGCAAGAGAGTGTGTTACTTAATCTTATCATTTTTTAAAGGAAACATCCCTCTGACCAATGTCTGGAGAACATATTGTGAGGGGACAAATCAGAAGCTGAGAGACCAATTAGGAAGCTATTGCAGTAGTCCAGGCAACGTGCCATGGTGGCGAGGCCTGCATTGGTAGCATCAGGGATGGGGAAAAATACAAACTTCTGAGATATACTTTGGAAATAGACCAGTTATCTATGCTAATGGCTGGATGTCGGTGGTCAGTTATGTCTTCAAGGTTTTTAAAAAGGTGGTGATGCTGACTGATATGGATCCGGCTAGGGGAAGACTAACTTTGAGTTGCTTTTCTTTGAGGGGAGGTAGGGATGGGGAAATTGAGAGCTTCATTTTTAGGTATGTGCGATTTGAGATGCTGTGAAACATCCAAGTGGAGGTTTTAGGTAGGTCATGAGGTCTGCTTATCTGGAGTTCACAGAAGAGGCCTGAACTGAAGATATGAATGTGGGACATTGACTTTGGCACTGACGTTGGCCCTGGATTTATAGAACAAGGTACATATGATATCAGAGGAGACCCTCGGAGGAGTTCAGCAGTTGGCAAGAGAAACAACAGTCAATGAAGTGGATGGAAGCAGGAGAGGTCAGTGAGGTCAGGGGCAGGGGCAGTGTGAAAGCATGGTTTCATAGAAGTGGAAAGAGGAAAGTGACTTACCTTTCCTGTGATTGAATATTCTAAACCTTAAATTTTAACGTCTGCACAATGTTTTATTGAATGGATGTACCATAAATTATTGAAATTCCTCCGTCTCCTCCCACCCACCCCCCCCACCCCGACCACACACACACACACACACACACACACACATCTGGGATAGAGGATATTTAGGCTATTTACAACATTTTTGTAGTTAAGATGAACATCATGACAGTGAATCTGTAGACACATATATAATGAATCTTAAAGGTATATTTCTAGAAACAGGATTATGGAGTAAAAATCAATATTAATAAAAAGTTTAACATCTAATGTATGATTTCTACTGTTTAAAAAGACATTAAGAAAATTAAATGGCTATTGTGAATAATGCCGCAATAAACATACTTGGAACCAACCCAAATGTCCAACAATGATAGACTGGATTAAGAAAATGTGACACATATACACCATGGAATACTATGCAGCCATAAAAAATGATGAGTTCATGTCCTTTGTAGGGATATGGATGAAATTGGAAACCATCATTCTCAGTAAACTATCGCAAGAACAAAAAACCAAACACCGCATATTCTCACTCATAGGTGGAAATTGAACAATGAGATCACATGGACACAGGAAGGGGAATATCACACTCTGGGGACTGTGGTGGGGTGGGGGGAGGGGGGAGGGATAGCATTGGGAGATATACCTAATGCTAGATGATGAGTTAGTGGGTGCAGTGCACCAGCATGGCACATGTATACATATGTAACTAACCTGCACAATGTGCACATGTACCCTAAAACTTAAAGTATAATAAAAAAAAAGAAAAAAAAAAAAGAAAATTAAATGGCATAATTTTCATTGATAATATGTCTATAATCTAACAAAGTCAATTCAGAAATAACAAAAAAGCACTTATTAAATACCTATTGTATTCTAGATGTTGTGTGATAGATTTAGAACTCTTGTATTTTAGGTATAGCACTGAGATTCAGGGAACTCACTCCACCTCAAATAGCTTATTTTGTTATAATGTTGTAAAGATTTGAACAAATGTCTGTCTCCATATTATTTTGTTAGTTCATTTAAATTTCTCTGATGATTTCTTTCCATTGTTTTTCCTTTATCAATTCCAAACTCTCTATATTGCCCCTTTCCATATTGGCTATATTCACACTTCAGTATCTTCTTTTCAATGTTGGGCAGCTCCTTCTTTTTGTCCTTACACATCTCCTGTCTTCACCTAATATTAGCAATGACTGTGATTCTCACCAATTCCTCCATGTAAGTTCACCTCCATTATGAGTCCACTCTCTGCAGGGTAGAGCATTGCATGCATCTTAAACAAACATCACTTAACAGGGAGATCTGAGGGCCCCCAAAACAAATCTGATTCATCTCTGTAAGGCTTCATCAGCAGCAGGAATGAATAAATGATTGTTGAAATTAATCAATATACATGTTACAGATTAATAGATATAATAGCTATAATGTAATAATCATTTCTCCAATGTACCACCATGTTCTGTTAATCAGTTTATATATATAAATATTAATTCTAGGGTCGATACTAATATAAATATTATCTCCACTTTAAGGTAAGCAAAGCCAACCCTGCAATATAAAAATCATTTTTATTTTGCATGAGAAAAGTTAAGAGAGATGAAGTACATCATCTGAGGTGTGACAGGCTATCTAGGGACAGAATTTGACTAAATTCTGTCTGACTTTAAAATCTGTGTGTTTTATTATTACACAATCTTGCTTGCATGGATATACAAAATATCACTCAGACTTACCATAAAATTGTTAGAATTAAATGAAATCTTGAAAATTTCATCAATACAACCTCATTGCACATCCTCAAAAGACTGGAATATTTTCCCATGAGTAAGTGTAGCAAAATGCCTCATTGCCTACCGCAGAATCTGAAAGATACACCCCTGCAAATTAGTGTTTTGTAAATGAATGACTACAGCTATAGGAAGCTATCACCTCAGGGGGAACCTTTCCATTTTCACCCAAAATAATCTTTCTCTTTCACATCACTGCCACAGTGCCCTAGGCCCCATTCTTTCTTTTAAGGACTTAGAATCCTGGGCCACTTTTGCAGAGAAACAAGCAGCATACTTTGGACTGAGGGACTTAACTCCTGCATGAAAGTCAATAGGCAACTTACTGGCTACTGTCTGTAGAGGTCTTCCTGGATCACAATGGGGAGGAAATTGAAATCGGCACCCCCATATAGGTGAAGCACAGCACTTGCCCAGGAGGAAACTGAGGCCAGGAAGGCTCAGGATGTGCTTTTATGGTGCTTATTCAGATGGAGGTCAGGCTATTTCTGGATGCTGACAGGGGTTTTCATCGGTGCTGCCAATATATAGACACTTCTTTCCTCTTTCCAGGCACTTGTAGGATGGTTCCTCTGGACCCCTGAGGTTGAGTGGGGCTATCTGACTAGCTCCGTCCAGTGAGCTTTGATCAGATGGGATAGACATCACCTTGGCTGGAGGATTTAACTCTCAGCTTGAGAACAGTGATTTCTCTTCCTCTGACATAGCAGCTGGCAACATTCAATATGGTAGCTGCTCTGTCAGCCCAGGTCTCCGCATACCTGGAATGAGCAAAGCCCTGCCAAGGACACCCTTGGGTGCATACAATAAATAAGACATGAACTTTGGTATTTGAAGCCTCTGAGATTTGGGGGTTGTTTTTTAGTGCAACATGTTCTAAATTGTTCTGGCTGAGTCATTGTTTCCTCTTTTGCCTCTTTGTCTCCATGAAGCCTCAAGGAGACCTCAGCCCTGATTTTGACACCCTCTGCTCTGTGCCATGTGCCTCTCAGCCTTTTTCATCTTCATAGCCTGGGGAACCTTGGGGGGCATGTCACTGGAGGTAGAAACCATGTTCTGCCCCAACATGCTGCTTTTTTTCTAAATGAATTAGAATTAGACTTTTAAAACTTCAAAGGCCCTAATAACCCTTCTCTAAGGTTTAACTGGGTAAGAATAGGGAGAAAAAAATAGTAGCAGAAAAATAGAAACACACTGTTTTGTGTATTAAAATGTTCTGGCTCAGCTACATCTTCCTGGGCCCCAGTAAACCACTTTATTAAACTGTGCTTTTGTGTGGTGCCATTTGATTAAACAGAAGGTCACAATAAGGAGTGATCCTGTGAAACTTAGTATTGTGAGTACTGTCAGAATGTTGCTGAGGACACTGCTTATTTGATCACATGTGGTTCTTTGTATGACAATACACAGAAAAAATTCAACACTAAGAATAGCCATAATTTTGAGCAATTATTTTGCTTTTATATTACATACACTTAGCTACACATGTATTCATCCATCTATCTACTCACCTATTATTAATTGATAACTTCATCCTCAGGGTACATCCAGTAAAGCAAAGCCTCATGGTTCGATTGGACTCAGCTATTCTGGCCCCACTGTGTTTAGAACACTGGATCACCCTCTGAGCAAGGGCCAGCTGGTCATCAAGAGTTCCCTTCTACGGGGAAGGGCTCTGTCACACTTGACCTTGATCCTGCTTCTCCACAGCTCGAATGCATTAATAGAGGCTTTTATAGCTGAAGCCTAAGATTTAAGTTGTCTTTTATTAGAGTGACAGAGGGCCACAAAATTAACAAATAATGTATTCATGGGACTATTGCAGGAAACTCAACATCTTTTCGATGCATCAGGTATCCAGCTCCAAAACGAGTAACCAAACCTTAGAACAACCAGGATCACCCTTTTAAACTCCATTATCAATGCTCTTGTGTTTGGTGTCTTTGTTAACTTGGCTATGCTAAACCACACTTTCTAGAACACCCTTTCCTCTATGTTTCCAGTCAGGGTGGGCCATGGGGAGACCTGGAGGCAGAAAGACAGTGGCAGTCATCTTGGAGGTCAGCCACAATTGCTCATCTGCTGACTCACCTGTGGAAATGAGTCTGCAGCTGGTCCCACACCTGCTTCACCTTCCCCTGGCTCCTCCTTCAGCTTCTCTGACTATTGAGCCAGGTGTGTGTTTAAACATCAAGGAGCACAGGACTCTGCAGGACATCCACACCATGGAGATTCTGCTTCTCTGACTGAGCCTTGACTGGCACACTGGTATTCACATAACACAAGATAAGGAATCTGCACAGAATGGCTGCAATAAGAGCTTCTTCTAAGTCCTGCTTGAACAGCTCCATCTCCTCCATCAGCATAATGCTTTATTCCTGTCAAATGTGATGTTCCAATTGTGATGTTTCATTTCTCACTGATGGCCTTGCCTGCTAGTGAATAGGCTTGCATGCATCCCATCATTCAGCAAAGAAGTACTGAGCATCTAATAGCAATGTAGCTCAGTCACTTTCAGAATCTGGGAATACAGAGATGAGTGATGTTGGTAGAGATTGTCTACAGACAATTGCTAAAACGTGGTGAGAGGTAACAAATGGATACAAGTTTTCATGAGAGGGAGTGGGGAGAATGACTGCTACTGCTTAGAAACAACCCAAGACCATGGAGGACTTTACAGTGAGATAAGCAATTCTGAGCTTTGGACAACAAGTTCACCAGACATTAATATTTCTAAAAACAAAAGAAAACTCTAGCACTGCAAGATGACCCTGTTAAATTAAGTGGGGTGCATAGGTGTACCTGCTGGGGGCAAGGAGATAGAAGATGCTTTTCTCTTTTATACATGTGGATTATCAGATGCCAGCAGGACATCTGATGCCCAGTAGAATGCTGTCTATGTTAACTCATGTTTTTGGACAGTGTTCTTGGGTAGAGATTTACATTTGGACACTTTTTAAAACAGGTTGGAGATGGAGTCTAGGCCAGGACTTCAATGCAAGAGCATATAGCTTACCTCAGCCTGTCTGCCTACTGCAGCAGGAACCACAAACAAAATGTATGCAGCTCTTTCTTCATGGCTTAAAGAATCCATGGTCCTTCTGTTTATTCTGGGCTTCAACTCCCCAGTTCCATACTCCACCAGCTTTGTGTGTTGGTTCATGCTTTTCATCATAAGCTTTCTGCCTGTATATTCTATTTGGGGATCACATGGGATCATCATTAGTATTGTTCTCTAGACTGCATGCTCTGTACCTGCAGTGAAGTAGCAGGAAGTCCAACCCACACTCCTGTGATCTGGCTTTGGTGTTTCCCCTGCTTTCTGCTCCCATCTTGAATCCACTTGTGTGTCCTAGTAAAGGTACTTCCAAACAAGCTGTGCTGCTCTGAGTGTCATTGCTGCAGCCGTGGTCTAGGTCACCATCATATTTCCCTGGGACCCTACTGCAACCTCCTCACTGTTCTCCCTGCTTCCAAACTTGGGCCCCTATAATTTATCCACTGCCTATATGGCAGCAAGAGTGATCCCTTTAAAAAATAACTATGATCATTTCCTTCCCCTTCCTCAGTCCACTTAATGGCAACCATTACACTTAGTACAAATCCAGTTCTTTACTGTGGCAGGAAAGGTCTTGCATGTAGGGCTCCTGGGTCCTTCTAGAAGGCCATGGTGTGCCCTTTGTACCCTGGTACGTGCTTTGGTCACAATGGTGCCTTTTCTCTTCCTGGAATATGCTAAGCTTTCCTCATCTCAGTTTATTACATTTATTAACAGCCCTACATAGACTCTCTTCTCCTAGCTCTTGGAAAGCTTCTCTTCATTATTTAAATCTCAGCTTAAATATCTTTTCCTCAGAAAAATTGTTTCCTTACCACCTAATCCAAAGAAACCTAACTTAGCTCAAGCTACTAAACAGAACACCATGGGCAGGGTGGTTTAAACAACAGGCATTCATTTCTCACCCGGAGGCTGGGACATCAAGATAAGGCGGTGGCTAATTTGGTTCCTGGTGAGGGCTCTCTTCCTGGATCTCAGGCGGCCACCTTCTTGCTATGTCCTCACAAGGAGGAGAGAGAGTGAGCAAACTCCAGTCTTTTCCTCTTCTTCTAATCCCATTCTCATGACCTCATCTAAACATAATTTCCTCCTCAAGGCCCCATCTTCAAATACCAACATTGGAAGGTAGGGCTTCCATGTACTAATATACTGGGGGGACACAAACATTCAGTCCATAACCTCATTCACCCAGTTACACACTCCCCATCACCATACTTATTGCCACCAAGCTTATCACAACTGGTGAATACCTTATTCATTCAGTGATTTCCTGCCCATCTGTTGTGCTCCATACTCCACAGTAAGGTTATAAAGATATGTATTGATCTTTTTTCCCATTTGTGTTTCTATTTCTTAGCTCACTACTCAGTTCAAGTTGCTACTGCTGTGTCTGGGGGAGGTAGTTGGGTGTGTGTGTTATGTGTGTGTGTGTTTATGTGTTTATAGGAGAGTAACCTTCCCCTATATCTGTAGAAGATAATGTGTTTTGATAAGTTATGAGCACATAAAGAAAGGCTGATGTCCTAGGGAATAATGTGTTCTTACCATTTTGTGTTCTACTGTTTTGATTTAGCTTTATTTCATATTTGTTTCAAGTAAGCACAGTTCCAATTTTTTTTTATTTGGATAGACAACAATATTTCTTTATGTTAATTTATCATCCTCCCCATTTGATTGGTAATTGAATTATTTGCCAGCTTTTTTCCTATTTCTAATAGTATTTCTATGAGGACCTAAAATTTTGTTTATTTTTATTCAGGAGAATTTCTTTAGATATAATCACAGAAGTTGAATTTCTGGGTCAAAACTGAACAGTTTTAAAGATTTTATTACATAGCAACAGATTTCTCCTTAGAAAGATTGAATCAATTTGCTATGCCAAAAACAAACTGCACTGTTCATGTTTCCCCACAATCTTGTCAGCATTGACTTAAAGATTTTTTATCACTCATAGCTTGTTTTCCTAATTTAGGTATTTTGGGAGGCACCCCTGGAAAACTGCAGAAAGGAGAAACACATAGTGAAGCCACACTGTTTCACAGTCAGGCTTTCATTTCCACAGTTCTAGAAACTTGATTTTGTCAGAGCCTGAATAAGTTGAAATGTCTTAAGTCACCGGAAACAAAAAATCCAATTCAAACTGGCTAAAACCACAAAGCGGATTTACCAAGTCAGGTGCCTGCTCTGTTCATCAGCACCTGGCTCCGTATTTCTACCATTCTCTCGACGTTGCTTTCCTCTTGGCGTCCACTTCATCTTGATGCTGAAGGAATCTTAATTTTTAGGGTCTCTCTTTAAAAAAAAAAAAAAAGATTGACGAGACTTCTCAAAAATAACTGCTCTCCCATCATAGATATATTCCCTGTGAGTCTTTGGACTCAAATGGGTCTCTTGCTCATTTCTGATTTAATTGCTATATTTTGGTGGATGTTATCTGTGTTCCTGCAGCAATCCACACAATCCCTGCAAGGAGTGTATCTACAGTGGGTTATGAATTAGGACCACTTCCCTAGAGCAGGGGCTACAGTGAACTGCTGGGAAAGGGAGAGCAGAAAATTTTTTAAAACAAGTATTATTAGGAAGAGAAAATAGATGCTGGATAAGCAAGCAACAATTTCCAACAAACACCAGAGTATGATCACACTTGCATTAACCAAACTCACAGAGACTGAAATACAAATGGATGTCAAGGTTACAGTGAGAAATAGGACCCTCAAGGGGAAATAATGTTACGTTAAATAACCAAAACACTTTCTCCCTGCATGTAAACAGCATAGAATCAATTTGGATGGAACTACCATATGGACAATATTAAGTCTTCCAGTCCATTAACATGGAGTGTCTCTCATTTTATTTATATATTTTCTATATTCTCTCAGAAATGTTTGTAGTTTTCTGTGTACAGGAACTTATTTATTTCCCCAATGTCTTTTTATTATTTTTAATGTTGTGAGTGGCATCATTCTCTTAGTTTCATATTTAAGTTATTTATTGTTCGCATATATAGATGGACTTGGTTTTTGTATATTGATTTTTGAACCCAGTGATCTTGCTGATCTGTATCGTTAGTTCCAGTAGTTGCATGTGCATTTGCTTGTGTGTGCACGTTTATGTGTGTGAATTCCATAGGACTGTCTACATATAAGATTGTGCATACAAATAAAGACAGTCTTACTTCTTTTTTACAATCTGAGTATCCTATATTTCAGTGTGATTGCACTGGACATAACTTTCAGTATAATGTAGAATGGAAGTGGTAAGAGCATGCATTGTGCATTGTTATGGATCTTAGGGAGACAACATTCAATCTTTTACCATTGAGTATGATACCATTGAGTGTGATGATAGATGTCCTTTTTCAGTTTGAGGACATTCCATTTATTCATAGTTTGTTGAGAGATTTTTATCATAAGTAAGTATTAGATTTTGTTAAATGATTTATTTGCATCTATTAAGATGATCTTTTTTGTCCTTTATTTTATTAATGTGGTGTATTGCTTTGATTGCTTTTTGGATGTTAAACTAACCTTGCAATTCTAGCACAAATTCCACTTGGTTATGATATGTTTTTATTTTCATATGTTGATGGATATAGTTTGCTCATATGTAGTTGAGAATTTTTGTATCTATTTTTCACTTTGTTTTATTTTCATGTCTTTAGCTTTAATATCTGAGTAGTGTTGGCCTGATAGAATGAAATGAGAACCGTTCCCTACTTCTCTATTTTCTGAAACAGTTTGTGAAAGGTTTGTATTATTCTTTAAATTATAGTCCTTAAATATTTGGTAGATTACACAAGTGAAGTCATCTGGGCCTGGACTTATTTTTGTGAGAATATTTTAAATTAGGAATGCAATATTTATATGTTGGTTATATGCATATTCAGAATTTTTCTTGAGTAATCCTTGATAATTTGTGTCTAAGAGTTTATATTTTATTAAGTTGTTTAATTTGTTGATATTGTTATTTATAGTATTGTTTTAAAAGAAAATCTTTTGATTTACATGGGATTGGGAGTGATGTTTTCTCCTTTAGTCTTGGTTTTGATACTTTATGTCTTTTCTATTTTTAGTTTGTCAGTTTAGGTAAAGATTTATTCATTTTGTTTACATGTTCAAAGAAAAACCTTTTGGTTTCACTGTTATTTTTCTTTAGATTTTTCCTTATTCCATTTTGTTGATTTCTGGTATAATATTTGTTTCTTTATTGCTGCTTTATCTATGTTTACTTTTATTCTCCTTCTCTAGTTTCATATGGTCAAAATTTAGGTCAACGGTTTGAGGCCTTTCTTATTTGCTAATATAGGCCTTTAAAGCTGTAAATTTCCTTCTAAGCACTGATGTCGCTGTGTCTCACTAATTTTAACAAGTGTTTTCATTGTCATGCAGATAAAAATATATTCTAATGTCCCTTTTCAGTTTGGTTCCTTATTTTTCTTGTTTTGTTTTGCTTTGATCAATGAATTATTTAGAAATGAACTGTTTAATTTTCTCCCAGAGTGAGCTTTCCTATATTCTTTTGAAGAGCAGATTTTTAAAAAGTAACAGTTAAGTCTAACCAATCAATTTTGTTTTTAGGGTTATTGTTTTCCACGACCTCTCTAAGAATATTCCTAAATCACAAATATATTCTCCTGTGGTATCCACTAAAATCTCTTTAGTTTTAGCTTTTATTTTAGGCCTAGGATTTAACTTCATTATACATATAGTATTAGGTAGGGTTGAAGGTTCATTATTTTTCCCAAAAAGGATATCTAGTTATATAAGTACCATTTGTTGAGAAGAATTTCCTTTCCCAATAAATACTTTTGAGACCTTCATTAAAAGGAAATGACTGTGGTTGTATTTCTGGATGCTCTAGTTTATTTCATCTATGTATTTGTCAACTCTTCTGTCAGTACTACCCTGTCATGAATATCTTAACTTAGTGATACCCAATATTTACACTCTTGACATTTTGGGCTGCATAATTATTTGTTTTATGCAACTGTCCTATGCTTTGCAGGATGTTTAGAGATCTCTGTGTTCTAAACACTAAATGTTGATGGCACCCTCCTTCAAGTCTGGTTTTTCTTACAGTTTATGTCCAGGTCCAGAGGATTTTCTTAATTTTCTCTTATATAAAAATAAATTAATTTCTCAGTCACTCAAAGATATGCAATTCTGGACTGAGATTACTTTTCTCTCAATTCAAAGATAACTTTCCACTGTCTTCTAAACTCCATAATTTTTGAGAAGATAGTGGTCATTCAAATCAATATATGTCTATAGATAGTTTATTGTTTTTCTATAGTTGCCTCTAAAATTTGCTCTTTCTTTTTGGTTTTAGCATGTTAACTGGTGTTCCTAGAAGTGTGTGTGTGCCTAATCTGCTTGGAGTTATATAAGCTTCTTAAATCTGTAAATTTATGATGTCATGTTCTGGTCACCCAATAGAAGTGGGATGAAGTCCCCCCCAAACCTCCCAAATTGATGCAAATGTCAAGCCTGATAATGCTATACACACATACCAAGAGAATATGAACATACTTATTACTCCCTTAATAAAACTTTCTAGGGAGAGAAGGGCAGGCTTCCCAAGAAGATCAGAAATGACATGAGAAAGCAGACAAAGGGGATTGGCTTGGGGTTTTTATGGTGGTTAGGGATTAGATTCAGCTTGGGTGTTCCTCCATGCACTCCAGGGCTGCCTGGTTTGAACTTCCCATTGGTGTAAAAGGAGGACACACTTGGGCTTTCTTATTTGCTTGCCTTAATATGGGCAGAAATCCGAAGAAGCAGAGTGGGGCTTAAAAGCAGTCAGAAATCAAACACTAAACATGGAGTTTGTCTCTTTATTATATGTCACTAAATTGGAAACATTGAAGAAATTACAATTTCAAATATTTTTTTCTGCTCTAGTCTCCCCTGTCTCTGTCTCTCTCTTTCTTTTAAGTATTTTCCTCCTTCTGCCCTGCAATTAATAATTCTATTATGATGTTAAACCCGTAGAGTGTGTTCTTAACTTTAGATAATACATTGTTTAGTTTTAGAATTTCCACTTGAATTTTTGTAGATTCTATTTTTTCTGATTATATTTCCAAGGTTTTTATTTGTATAAGCACATTTTCTTTTACTTATAAGATGTAGTTATAACAGCTGATTTAGGATTTTTGTTTGCTAATTTCAACATTTAGATCATTTTGGTACCAGTTTCAGTTGACTGTTTTTTCTGTTGAGGCTGTTTTGTTATTGTATCCTGTCCACTGTGAATGTGCTCATGTGGAGACTCTGGATTTTGCCTATTCCCCTGTAGAGTGTTAACTTGGTTGGACACAAATTGATAACTCTGTTTTTCGTTTGTTTGTTTGTTTGTCAACCGCAATATAAGTTTAGATTTTAAAAACTTCTAACTGTATGGCTTTGAATCTGCCCTATGCATGTGTGGTTGAGGGTTAAGCCAGAGATTTGGGCAGTGTTTAAACTGCCACTTGCTTGCATTTTCTTTCTGCAACTGCTCCCATGTCTGGCTTTTTTTTTTTTTTTTTTTTTTTTTTTTTTTTGTAGGTTTCTGTAATCAGGTTTTAGTATTAATAGCTGTGGTTGCTTCAGACTCTGTCTCGGGCTTTTCAGCTCAGATAAACTGCTTTCTTCTATTGGAGTTTTAGCTGTCCTGTAAAACTTTGATTTTCTCTCACTCATTGCACTGGCCCCTTCTCCCAAGCTTTAAGACCCTTCCGGATGTAGATGCTTTTCATACTCTCCAGTGCCTTCATGTAATTTTATTTTTAAATTTTTTCTTATTAAATAATGATAAATATATGCTTATTATTTCCAGGATGTTTGGATCAGGTAAAAGCTTGCTTGGTCATTCTAGAATAAGTAAAATTAGTTTTTTCCACTACTTTTATTACATTGTCAATATTTTTCTTAATGATTTTTAAGAATTATGTATTTTGGATACAAGTCTATTTGTTGGAAATATGTTGTATGCATATCTTACACTCCAAGGCTTACATTTTCATTGTCTTAACTGTCTTGTAGGTTAGTGCTTTTTATTTTATTTTATTATTATTGTACTTTAAGTTTTAGGGTACATGTGCACAACATGCAGGTTTGTTGCATATGTATACATGTGCCATGTTGGTGTGCTGCACCCATTAACTCGTCATTTAGCATTAGGTATATCTCCTAATGCTATCCCTCCCCCCTCCCCCCACCCCACAATGATAGACTGGATTAAGAAAATGTGGCACATATACACCATGGAATACTATGCAGCCATAAAAAATGATGAGTTCATGTCCTTTGTAGGGACATGGATGAAGTTGGAAACCATCATTCTCAGCAAACTATCACAAGGACAAAAAACCAAACACCGCCATGTTCTCAATCATAGGTGGGAATTGAACAATGAGAACACAGGGACACAGGAAGGGGAACATCACACACTGGGGACTGTTGTAGGTTAGTGCTTTTTGTAGTCTCCCAGAAACATCTTTGCTTACTCCAAGTCATGAAGATACTTCCTACTTTTGCTAGTTTTACAATATTTATAACAGCTTCTTATGATGTTTAACTGACATATGATAAACTGCACCTATTTGAAGTGCACAGTTTGATAAATTTTTGAATATGTGTACACTTGTGAAACTATTACCACACTCAGGATAATGAACATATTAATCACCTCCAAAAGTACCCTTTGATAATACTTCCCTCTTAAACCTCCCAGATCCACTCAGCCTCTTAGACTTTCTGTCACCATTTGTTTCTATCACTGAATTCCTTCCTGTCGCTATTTCATGGCTTATTTGTATAATTTTTATTTATTTTATATAAATGAAATAGCACAGTATTTGGGGATTTTCTTGGGGAGGGGCATTTGGCTTTTTTCCAACAGCATAATTATTTTGAAATTTACCCATGTTATTTCTCGTTTCAGTAATTACTTCCTTTTTATTGCTGAGCAGTATTGTATGGATTTACAACAATTTGATTATCTATTAATCTGTTAATAGACATTTGTTTCAATTTTTGGCTATTACAAAATAAAGCTTCTATGAATGTTTGTGTAAAAATAGGCTTTATATCTTTTGGGGAAATGCTTAGGATGAGAATTGCTGGATCATAAGTTAGGTGTATATATAATGTTTAAAAAAACCTGCTGAACATTATTTTGCTGTTTTGGGCTTTATTTCCTCTTTCTAGTTTCCTAAAGTGGAAGTTGAAGTCATTGATTTGAGGCCCTTGTTCTTTTCTAATATTTGTAGTTTTATAAATTTCTCATTAAGCACTGCTTTAGCAGTATCTCACAAATTCTGATATGTTACATTTTTGTTCTCATCAAGTTAAAAAAGGTTTCTAATTCTCCTTTTGGTTTACACTTTGACTTATTCACTATTTAGACTTATTTAATTTCTGAATATTTGAAGATGTTCCAAATGACTTTTTGTTATTTTTTCTCAAATGTGTTTCCATTGTGGTCAGAGAACGTACTTTGCATGACTTGAATCATTTTAAATTTATTGAGAACAGCTTTATGATCCAGAATATGGTCTATCTTGATAAATGTTCTGTGTACACTTGAAATGAATGAATATTTTACTGCTGTGGGGTGGCGTGTGGTAGAAATGTGAATTAGGTCACATTTTGCTAGGATTGTTCAAGTCTTCTACACCCTTACAGAATGTCTACCTAGTCGTTCTATCAATTATTGAGTAAAGGATATTGAAGTGTCTGACTGAAATTGTGGATTTGTTGATCTTTACAGTTAGATTAGTTTTTGCTTCGTATATTTTGAAGCTCTTTTATTAGGTGCATAAACATTTAGAATTGTAATTTTTTCTTAACAAATTGACTCCTTTATTATGTGACATAAACTTATTTATCCCTGGTAATGTTCTTTGCACTGAAATTTACTTTATCAAATATTAATACAGCTACTTCTGCTTTCCTTTATTTAGTTTTAGCTTGATTTTTTTTCATCTCTTTACTTTCAACCTATTTGTGTTATTATCTTTAAAGGAAGTCTTTTTGTAGGCAGCATATATTTTGATCTTGCTTTTTCATCCAGTCTAACAATTGTTGCTTTGTGTTTGTGCAGGAAAGCCATTGGTTTAGATCATTTATATTGAATGTGTTTATTGATATGTTTCAGCTTAAATTTACTATTTTATTTGTTTTCTGTTTGTCCCATCTGTTTTATCTACTACTTCCTCTTTTTCTTCCCTCTTTTGGACGAATTGAATATTATTTGTGATTCTGTTTATCTCCTTGTTAGCTTACTAGCCATCAGTTTTTGTTTTGTTATTTTACTGGCTGTCCTAGAGTTTAGAATATACATCTTTCCTTTATTGCTATCTGCATTTAAGTGACATGCCACCTCATGTATAGTGTCAGAACACAACACCATTCTTCAATTTTCCCACTCTCTGCTCTATTCCTGTTTTTGCCATTCATTTTACTTTAGCATTTGTTAGAAACTCCACACTACTTTGTTATTATATCTTGTTCAAATAGTAATCATCCTCTAAAAATATTTAAATAACAAGAAAAATGCATTCTATGCATATCCACATAGTAACCATTTCTGGTTTTCATTTGTCTTTTATGTAAATCTTTATTTTCCTCTGATATTATTTGCCTTTTGTCTG
This sequence comes from Homo sapiens, assembly GCF_000001405.40. Classification (NCBI taxonomy): domain Eukaryota; kingdom Metazoa; phylum Chordata; class Mammalia; order Primates; family Hominidae; genus Homo; species Homo sapiens. The sequence continues at coordinate 85,390,915 of NC_000010.11, read as the reverse complement.
AAGTACTTCCTTTAACATTTTTTTTTAGTACAGGTTTGCTGGTGATTAAGTCTTTCACCCTTTGGTTCCCTGAAGAGAGACTTAATTTTTCCTTTATTTTTGAAGGATATTTTCAAAAGGTGTAGGATTCTTGTTCAATGGATTTCTTTTTATTTTAGTGTTTAAAAGATTTTTAAAGATGATGAGAAATTTGCCATCATCTTTATGTTTATAGCTCTGTACTTAGCCGGCATCCTTACCTTTTTTTTTCTGGCTACTTCTATGATTTTATCTTCATCACTAGTTTTAAGCAGTGATATATATCTCTCCCTCTCCTTATCTGTCTGTCATCTATCTGTCTACCTCCCCACCTATCTCTCTCTGATAATCTTAACTTACTTTCCGTATGTATCACTTTCTGTCTCATCATTTTTACTTCTTTATTTCATTTTTCTCTTCCTGGATATTTTTATTCATTTCTCTAATGTTCCACTTACTGTATTGAATTCATTCTTCTTTGATCACCATGTAATTTAATCTTCATTGCTGAACTAATATCTCTTACTTCGTTTTCTTTCCGAATCCAATTAGCTCTTTTCTCCTTTTTAGACATTTCTAACTTGAATTTGATATCAACAAATCATTTTATATCATTTTGTTTATAATTTTAAATTACCCTTTTCTACTGTATATTTCCCCCACATAATTTTAAAACTATGTATTTATCTCTAAATCAATTAACTTCTTTCTGATATCATTTTGCATTTTAATAGGCAGAAAATTTAACTCTCTCAATAGCAGGAAAATTGTATTTCTTTTGGTATAATTTAGGTATTTGACATACTTGCATCTATATATTATAAACATTTTGCCATATCATAACAATATTCAATTAATCAAATAGTATATTAATATATCCAGTGCCCATTATTCTGTTGCATCTCTTCTGATATGTCATTTTTAAAATTTTTCCTAAAATTTTAAAATTATTTAAAAATAATTTCTAAAATTATGTTAAAATTTTATTTCTTTATTTTATTTTATTTTAAGTTCCATGGTACATGTGCAGGATGTGCAGGTTTGTTACATAGGTAAATGCGTGCCATGGGGTTTTGCTGCATCTATCAACCCATCACCTATTTATTAAACCCAACATGCTTTAGCTATCTTTCCTGATGTTCTCCCTCTCCTCACATCCCCACTTCAACAGGCCCCAGTGGGTGTTGTTCCCTTCCCTGTGTCCATGTATTCTCATTGTTCAGCTCCCACTTATAAGTAAGAACATGTGGTGTTGGTTTTCTTTTCTTGCATTAGTTTGCTGAGGATCCATCCATGTCCCTGCAAAGGACATGATCTCCTTCTTTTTTTTTCTTTATGGCTGCATAGTATCTCTTCTCATAAAGAAGGTATTCAATTTTAATATTTACAGTTTGTTGTCTTTCTGTCAATAAAAGACTCGTTGGTGCCTATACTGTAGGTTTTAGTCTCTTCTTTTTCTTGTATACCATTTAAAACTCACAAATATTTTGTTAATGAATACCTGTAAATGAAACAAAATGCTAAATATTACTTATTAACTGTCAAATACAGAACCAAAGGAGAAGAAAAATCATTTTCCTTCTCAATGTTGTTTAGTCGAAAAAATGACATAGGCTAGAAAACTATTCAGCGGTATATGTTGATACTTTTTATTCATTTTTATTGTGGTTTATATTTAAACAAGGATTTCACAGATATAGGTTCATTATTAGAGATTACACTAATCATATAATAAATTTTACTTGTTTTTGTTTTTTGGATTATTTGTTCTCCTGTATTAACTGCTAGTCCTATACATGAAGACCGTAGTTGTAATTATAGTGTTTTTATATCAGCATTTTAATTTTTTTATGTTTTTAAAATCAATAATTTGTATTTTCCATTTTCAAAACTATATTAGATATTTTTGCACCATCGCTCTTCTAAATACCTTTTAGAATCAAACTGTTATGTCTTCCAGAGAAGACATTATATTGGGATATTTGTGATTCAAATGGCTTTGTCAACTATAAGTAGAAAATAGATATTTTCTAAATAATAAGTTTAAATGTACTATGCTAGGGTAAGATCTTAACAACAGAGGAAACTGGGTACAGGGTACATGGGAATTCTCATACTATTTTCACATTTTTTCTGTAAATCTATTTAAAAATAAATAATTTATATAAAAATAGTAAGTCTTTTGGCAGGGGAACATTCTATATCTGCCATATTTTTGGCACCTTTTGGATTTTTTTAAATAAGATTCATAGTTTCTGTACATTTCTATTTAGGGTGATATCTAAGTCTTTTGTTGACATTATGCATAAAATTTGTTCTCCCAATTTTTCTTTCCTAATTAGCTACTTCTAGAGTATGAGAAAATTCCGAATTTATGTCTATTGAACTTTTGCCTAACCACTTTTAGAACTTTACATGGAAGGAATACTAATTTTTCAGTTGATTAGCTTGGATTTTCTTGTTATGCAAAAAATTATCTACAATGACATTTGCAACATTGTTTTTGGTGCAACCTAATAGTTTTTATTTTTTATTATTTTATTTTTATATTTTAACTTTTATTTTATGTTGGGGGTACATGCGAAAGTTTGTTACACAGGTAAACATATGTTATGGAGGTTTGTTGCACATATTATTTCATCACCCAGGTATTAAGTCCCATACTCAATAGTTATCTTTTCTGCTCCTCTCCCTCCTCTCACCCTCCCCCCTCAAGTAGACCCCAGTTTTTGTTGTTTCTTTCTTTGTATTCATAAGTTCTCATCATTTAGCTCCCACTTATAAGTGAGAACATGCAGTATTTATTTTTCTGTTCCTGTATTAGTTTACTAAGCATAATACCTTTCAGCTCCATTTATGTTCCCGCAAAAGACAAGACCTTGTTCCTTTTTATGGTTGCATAGTATTTTATGGTGTATATGTACCAAATTTTCTTTATCCAATCTGTCACTGATGGGCATTTAGGTAGATTCCATGTCTTTGCTATTGTTAATAGTGCTGCAATGAACATTCATGTGTATATGTTTTTTATGATATAATGATTTTTATTCCTCTGGGAGTATACCCAGTAATGGGTTTGCTAGGTCAAATGGTAGTTCTGCTTTTAGTTATTTGAGGAATTACCATACTGCTTTCCACAATGGTTGAACTAATTTACACTCCCACCAACAGTGTGTAAGTGTTCCCTTTTCTCCACAACCTTGCCAGTATCTATTTTGACTTTTTAGTAATTGCCACTCTGACTGATGTAAGATAGTATCTCATTGGGTTTTGATTGGCATTTCTCGAATAATCAGTGATATTAAGCTTTTTTCATATGCTTGCCAGCTGCATGGGTTTTATGTCTTCTTTTAAGAAGTGTCTGTTCATGCTCTTTGCACACTTTTTAACGGGGCTATTTGTTTTTCTCCTGTAAATTTGTTTAAGTTCCTTATAGATGCTGGATGTTATACCTTTCTCAGATGTGTAGTTTGCAAAAATTTTCTCCCATTCTGGAAGTAATCTGTTTACTCTGTTGACAGTTTCTTTTGCTGTGTAGAAGCTCCTGTTTAATTAGATCCCACTTGTCAATTTTTGCTCTTGTTGCAATTGTTTTTGTTATCTTTGTCATGAAATTTTGCCTGTTCTTATGTCCAGGGTATTATCTCCTAGGTTGTCTTTCAGGGTTTTATAGCTTGGGGTTTTACATTTAATATACAATGCGTCTTCAGTTGATTTTATTTTTGTGTATGGTGTAAGTAAAGGTCCAGCTTCAATCTTCTGCATATGGCTAGACAGTTATCCCAGCACCATTTATTGAATAGGGAGTCTCTTCCCCATTGTTTATTTTTGTCAGCTTTGTTGAAAATTAGAAGATTGTAGATGTGTGGCCTTATTTCTGGGGCCTTTATTCTGTTCCATTGGTCTATGTGTTTGTTCTTGTACCAGTATCCTGCCATTTTGTTTACTGTAGCCCTGTAGTATAATTTGAAGTCAGGTATCATGATTCCTCCAGCTTTGTTCTTTTTGCTAAGAATTTCCTTGGCTATTCTGGCTTTTTTTTTTTTTTTGGCTCCTTATGAATTTTAAAATAGTATTTTTTAGTTCTGTGAAGAATGTCATTGGTAGTTTGGTAGAAATAGCACGGAATCTGTAAATTGCTTTGGGCAATACAGCCATTTTAATTATATTGATTCTTCCTATCCATGAGCAGGGGATGCTTTTCCATTTGTTTGTGTCTTCTCTGGTTTCTTTGAGCAGTGTTTTGTAATTCTCATTGTAGAGATCTTTCACCACCATGGGTAGCTGTATTCCTAGGTATTTTATTCTTTTTGTGGCAATTGTGAATGGGATTGCCTTTCTAATTTCTGACTTGTCTCTAGGCTTGGCTGTTGTTGGTGTAGAGAAATGCTAGTAATTTTTGTACATTGATTTTGTATCCTGCAACTTTCCAAAGTTATCAGCTGAAGGAGTGTTTGGGCTGAGACTATGGGGTTTTCTTGATTAGAATCATGTCTGCAAACAGAGATAGTTTGATTTCCTCTCTTCCTATTCGGATGCCTTTTCTTTCTTTCTCTTGCCTGATTGCTCTGGCCAGGACTTCCGATACTATGTTGAATAGCAGTGGTGAAAGAATTCATCCTTGTCTCACGCTGGGTTTCAAGGGGAATGCTTCCAGCTTTTGCCCATTCAGTATAATGTTGGCTGTAGATTTCTGATAAATGGCTCTTATTATTTTGAGGTATATTCCTTTAATACCTTGCTTATTAAGAGTTTTTAATATGAAGTGGTATTGAATTTTATCAAAAGCCTTTTCTGTGTCTTTTGAGTTAATCATGTGGTTTCGTCTTTAGCTCTACTTGTGTGATGAATAGCATTTATTGATTTGTGTATGTTGATCCAATCTTGCACTAGGCATAAGCCTACTTGATCATGGTGAATTAGCTTTTTAATGTGATGCTGGATTCACTTTGCAAATATTTTATTGAGGATATTTGCATCAATGTTCATCAGAGTTATTGGTTTAAAATGTTCTTTTTTTGTTGTGTCTCTCCCAGGTTGTGGTATCAAGATGATACTGGCCTCGAAGAGTGAGTTAGGGAAGAGTCCCCCCTCAATTTTTGGGAATAGTTTCTGTAGGAATGTTACCTTTTCTTCTTTGTACACCTGGCAGAATTTGGCTGTGAATCCCTCAGGTTCCAGGCTCTTTTGGTTGGTAGGCTATTTATTACTGACTCAATTTCAGAGCTCATTATTGGTCTGTTCAGGGAATCAATTTCTTCTTAGCTCGGTCTTGGGAAGGTGTATATGTTTAGGAATGTATCCATCTCTTCTAGGTTTTCTAGTTTGTGTGTGTAAATGCATTTGTAGTAGTTTCCGATGGTTGTTTTTATTTCTGTGAGGTCAGTAGTAACATTCCCTTCATCATTTTTAATTATGTTTATTTGTATCTTCTGTCTTTTCTTCTTTATCAGTCAACTTAGTGGCGTATCTATTTTATTATTTTTTTCAAAAAAACCAATGCCTGGATTTACTGATCTTTTGAATGGTTTTTCATGTTTCATTTCCTTCAACTCAGCTCTGATTTTTATTTTCCATAATTTGCTAGCTTAGAGGTTGCTTCATTCTTGCATCTCTAATTCTTCTAGTTGTGAAGTTAGGTTGTTAATTTGAGATCTTTCTAACTTTTTGATGTAGGCATGTAATGCTATGAATTTCATTCTTAACACTTCCTAAGCTGTGTCCCAGAGATTCTGGTATGTTGTATTCTTGTTCTCAGTATTTTCAAAGAACTTCTTGATTTCTGCCATAATTTCATTATTTACCCATAAGTCATTCAGGAGCATGCTGTTTAATTTCCTGTTATTGCATGGTTTTGAGGAATTTTCATAGTCTTTTTTGCATATTATGATATTTTTATTGTTTGATGTTTTCACTGTGTTTGTGAAATTCTTTTGTTTTTTATTTTTATTGTAAGTTCTATGGTACATGTACAGGATGCGCAGGTTTGTTACATAAGTAAACATGTGCCATGGTGGTTTGCTGCACAGACTTCTTTTTTTATTGTGCTGTGATCCAAGAGTGTGTTTGGTATGATTTTTGATTGTTTTACCTTTGTTAATTTTTTTTTTTTTATATATATATATAGAGTCTCTCGCTCTGTCACCCAGGCTGGAGTGCAGTGGCGCGATCTCAGCTCACTGCAAGCTCCCGGGTTCACGCCATTCTCCTGCCTCAGCCTCCCGAGTAGCTGGAACTACAGGCGCCTCCCACCATGCCCGGCTAATTTTTGTTTTGTTTGGTTTTGTATTTTTAGTACAGACAGGGTTTCACCGTGTTAGCCAGGATGGTCTTGATCTCCTGACCTTGTGATCTGCCCACCTTAGCCTCCCAAAGTCCTGGGATTACAGGCGTGAGCCACCACTCCCGGCCTCTGTTGAGGATTGTTTTATGTCCAATTATGTGATCAGTTTTAGAGTATGTGCCATAGGGCAAAGAGAAGAATGTATATTTTTAAGGTCTACTAGATCCATTTGGTCCAATGCTGAGTTTAGGTCCTGAATATCTTTGTTAATTTTCTGCCCCCCAATGATCTGTCTAATACTGTTAGTCTGTCAGTGGAATGTTGAAGTCTCCCACTATTATTGTGTGAGAGTCTATGTTTCTTTGTAGGTCTCTAAGAACTTGCTTTATGAATCTGGACACTCTTGTGTTGGGTGCATATATATTTAGGATAGCTAGGTCTTGTTGAATTGAACACTTTACCATTATGTAATGGCTTTCATGGTCTTTTTTTTTTATTCTTGTTGGTTTGAAATCTATTTTGTCTGAACTTAGGGTTGCAATCCTTGCTCTTTTCTGTTTTCAGTTTGCTTGGTAGATTTTCCTCCATCCCTTTATTTCTAATGTTTATGCTTCCTTTTAGTTTATTTTTATTGCATAAGCAAGTACTTCCAGTACAACTGTTGTAAAGAAGTATTACATTTTTGTCTTATTCCTGACATTAGTGGAAGCAAGCATAATCATCTCAATTGACTGGGTGTGTGAATAATTCTTTTATCCTTACCTAAATTCATGAATACAGAATTTGACCCAACTCCTTTCAGAAGGTAGTGAGAATATCCTATGATGTTCCTTTTTTGATTTCTTATAGAAGACAAACCCTGTAGTACATTTCTTAGTATGGAATCAATCTTTGCATCCCTGTAAAATCTAATTAAGTATCTAATTAAGTATGTTCTATTATTCTTTAATAATAGAATATCTGGAGGATTCCATTTCATAGTGTTCTAAGAAGTCATCTTTCAGTTGGAGGTTTGCCTTTTATTTTTGTATATGTGTGGTTTTGGGTATTTGCTTACTTTATATTGGGTTTTATCGGTTTTGAAAAAAAAGGCTTTATCTTTGAATAACCTAATAAAATGTGTCAATTTTAGTCTTAAAACTTGATGTTTTCACAAATCCAAGCATGTGTGTTGACATCACCAAAGGCAAGATATAAAACATATCTATTACTCCCCAAGTTTTTCTTACGCTTCTTTGCAGTCAATACTCTCACTCCATCCCAGACCCAGTTAACCTCTAATTTGCTTGCTGTCATCATAGATTTGACCTTTCTAGAATTTAATGTAAATGGGACCATGCAGAATGTAGGCTTTTATGTGTGGCTTTTTAAATTTATTTTCTTCTTTTAAAAATTGGCAGCTAACTTCATATGTTTTTATCATGTACAAAGTTTTGAGAGTTATTCATGTGGTTCATGCATCATTAGTTTATTCCCTTTAATTGTATGGATATGCCACGAGTGATTTACTCATCTACCAGCTGAATGGAAATTTGAGTCATGTCTGATTTCGGGTTACTTTTGATAAATAATCTATAAACATTTTTGTAAGCTGTTTGGGTAGACATAAATTTTTATTTCATTTGGATCAGTACCTGGGAGTAGGATTCCTGCCTCTAGTATTGCAAGTGCATATTTAACTTTATAAGAAACTATAAAATTACATTCCCATTAACGAATATCTGAGAGTGTCAGTTACTCCAGATCATCGCCAATATGCAATGAGTCTTTTCAATTTTAGCTGTTCTAGTAACTAGTGACTGTGTAGTATAATAGCAGTCTATCATTATAGTCATAGTTTGCATTTTCCTAATGTTGAATGATGTTGCTAATCTTTTGCCTGTTTGACATTCAAAATTCTTTACTGGTAAAATTTCTGTTCAAATCTTTTTCTGTTTATTTTTAGTTGCTTTTAAAAATATGTGTTTATATTTAGATTTAAATGTTCTTTATATGTTCTGGCTAAAGGTATTTGTGTTAGTTGTATTTCCCCTAATTTGTAGCTTGTCTTTTTATATTCTGACTCAAAGTGACTCAAAAAGCAAAAAACTACCCAGGTCATAGGAATTTCTCCTATATTTTCTTCTATAAGGTTTACAGGTTTAGGTTTTACATTTTAATATTAGTTATCTGGGATTAGGCAAAGATTTCTTAGATAAGAAACAAAAATATGAACCAAAAAAAGAAAGAAAAAAAACGTTAAACTTCTCCTTAGAAACAACATAAGGTAGGAGACAGTGAAGGAATATTTCAAAAGTACTGAAAGAAACAAAACAAAACAAAACTGTCAACTTAAAATTCTATGCCCAGTAAAATATTTGCAATCACGAAGGCAAACTACTTTTTCGCAGGCTTATGGAAGCTGAAATAATTTATCACCAGCAGACCTACGCTATAAAAAGGGTTAAAGTCCTAATGACAGAAGAAAAAATATATGAGATAGAAATAAGATCTACATAAAATAACAGAAACCACTGGAAATTGTTAGATATGTGGTAAATATAAAAGATATTTTCTTGTTTTATAAAATCTTTTTATAAGATAATTTATCATTTAAGGCAAAGAAGTATTATGCAATTTATAACATGTATAAATAAAATGCATAACAATAGAAGAAAGACCAGGAGGACAAATAGAAGTCTACTGTTGTAAGGTTCTTATACGTATAATATGTGAAGTGCTGTAACACTCAAAGGTAGGCTGTGCTAAGTTAATGAAGCATACTGTAAACCCAAATGTGACTGCTAAAATCATAAAATGACCAAGTATACCTAATAAACTGGTTAAATAAATAAAATAAAATCATAAAATCTGTATGTGTGCATACAAACACATACACAAAAAAGACTTACAATTGGAATTTTTATGTATTTAGAAACTTTCCAAATACAGAATTTCAGTGAGTGTTAAGCCAATTTGTTAAAATATCAGAATGAAATATTTTCTCATTAGTGTGTAGGAACTGCTGATTGACTTCAGGATTCATGGAAAATATACAAATCCAATTTCTGCAAATACCACTGCATAATGTGGATGATAAATGATGTTGTGATTAATTATGCACAGCCACATCTGGATTCATGAATCTTTGGGAGCTATCTTTTTTTAGATGTTGTAGGCATAAAACCAAGAACCAAAATAAACCGAACACCAGACTTTTGAATTTTTACATCACACTAAGAGTGAAACAAATATTTTTCAAAGATAATATGTATATTAAAACACATTGTTCTTATGGAAATTTTATTATTAATAAAATATTTACTTTTTGAAATGGTGTGATGTATATTTAATATGTAGAAATTTAAAAATTATTTTAAAATATAAACATGGGTTATTTTATCTTTATGTCATTGTTTTCACTTTTCATTTTTATATGATCTATAATGTACATAATGTAATATCTATTTATATACTTTTAAAACTACAATTTATTTTATTTGGTTATTTATTATTATAATTATGTTTTACCTAGTAATATATAAACCTATATAGTATAAAAATACATGTAAAAATGTAATATGTATATGCTTTATACTGTTACATATTGCTAATTGTGGGAATTAGTATGGTATAATATTAGTCATTTGGTGAATAAAACAAATAAATATAGTGAGATTTTAAGGAATAGAAGGCTCAGTTCTAAAAGCTTTGTTCCTTCTGCTCTGAGACACTATAACTAGATGTTCAAGCTTGAACTTCTAGAGAGAGACTTGTACAAATTCAGATTCAGTTTTAGCACTTTCTAGCTATGACACTTTAGGAAAATTAAGGCTTAGAAATAGCCTTAAAAATGAATTAGAAAATTTTTTTATTTAAAAGCATATATTAGTACCTTCCTCATTGAGTAGTTGAAATGATAACATAAATTAAAATATGTAAAATAATTAGAACAATGTATGAGACACACAAGCGCTTATGACTATCACTATGATTGCTACTACCAATAATGACTTCTAATACAGCTTAGCATTTAATAAGTGTCAGGCCCTATTTTATAGGACTCTACATAGATTAACTCACTTAATTCTCATAAAAAGGTGGGTATGCATGAGATATATTCCCATTTTGGAGATAAGTGAACTGGCACAGGGGGATTTAAATCTTATTCTTATGTTTGTGTTAAAGCTGCCATCTATTAATATTTAAAGAACAAGTTGTTTTGATCAGGTTGATAAGTAGAGTAGTAGATTGGTTAAGATAAGCTTGAAAAAATAGTTTTGTACTGTCATAGGTTAGACTATCGTTATGTATGGGTTTTTATTTTTGCCCATGACATCATATTTGACAACCAAAGTCATGTTTGCTTCATAAAATGAAGTATGTAAATTAACTCTAATATTTTTAATTTACTTAGAAATGGCTTGCATAGTCAGTGTGTCTACTGACTCAAATGTTAATCTCTTTTGGCAGTGCCCTCACAGACACACCCAGGATCAATACTTTGTATCCTTCAATCCAATCAAGTTGACACTCGGTATTAACCATCACAATGATTTATCAAAGGCACACATCTATTGGATCAATTTATTTTTACAAGTAAGGCAGCAGAAATCTCATGTTCTCTCTTCAGTTAGCATTTATTGAGCATCTACTTTTGTGCCTAGCACTGCTATAATTATTGGGCACCTAGTAATGTGAGGAATCAAATTTCTTACCTAAAGCAATTCACAATGAGTGAAGCAGCATAATAGAAATACATAACTGCCAGTGCTATAATGTCTAGTGATATGGAAATACAGTTATAAATTAGAGGAGGTCTCCATAAAGGGAGGATACTTCAGCTGTATTCTCAGCATGATAGATTTTGTGGGTTGTTTTTTGTTTTCAGATGAACTAGGCATTCAACATAGCAGGTGTAAAGACATTGGACTGTGAAAGAACACAGCATGCACAGGATACAGTCAATACAAAGTGATTGCAGGTGAAGATGTATAGAGGAGATGGGATTAATTCATAAATGGTTTAGCTTGTATCATATAGAAAACAGAAAACCAATTAAGGTAGTTTCCATAATCAAATATGTTGAGTCAACAAAAAGATATGTTGGAGCTTACCCTATGTCAGGCACTGTGTAAGCCCCTGGAAACACAGTGGTGAAGAACCTAAAAACGCTTCCCGCCCTTGGGAAATTGAGGGTATTGAGGACGTACCAAGATACTGATAATCCTTTTGGAAGGTTAATTGGATAGTGATATTATTGAGACCTAGAGGAAGAGAATTAGAGTTAGGGAAGAATATGCTGCCCTGCTGAGTTTTTGAAATGAGTTTCAAATTCTTTTCCCATGGCTGGACATACCATGGAGCCAGTTAAAATAATACTCCTCATTAATAAGGTGCTAGTTCAAATGTCACCTCCTGAAAGAGGGCTTCTCTGACCACCTTAGCCACAGGAAATACTCTTCACATATTATATGAGAACCTTATAACAGTATACTTCCATTTCTCCTCTCCAGACCTTTCTGCTGTTGTTATGCATTTTACTTATGCACATGTTATAAACTGCATAATACATTTTTTGCTTAGTCACTTTCTATCCCATTACCCCAACTTATTTTGTTAATACTGTTTGCTACCTGGAATTATCTAATTTATCTACTTGTTCATTTTCTGTTTTTTCAACCTAGAATGCAAATTGCAAGAGGGCAGATAAATGGTTCATTCTGTTTCTATTCACCGTTTCATCGCAGGAATGGAAGCATAATAGGCTCTCAGAACATTTTTGTTCAGTGTTCAATTGATGAACATAGGAGAGAGCTCAGGCTAACTTGGAAGTCATTTATGTGTAAGCACAGGTGAGTGTGAGTGTTGGTGAGTGTGAAGTTAGTCTCTTTGGAATATATTCTCAATCTTTCTGCTATCTTTCACCATCTCCTTCTCTTTTCCAAAGGGCAACTGGTTGTTACAGAAAAGAGAACATTCAAGAAATCATGGAGGTGGAATACAGGAACCTGGGCACCACATACGCAGATTACGTGTTGCTCCGGGTTCTTTTGCCTTGACTTCATATCTGCCCCCTCAGTCTCTCCAGGATACAATGTGGAAAACATGGCCACTGACAGGTTGGCATAACTGCCAGAATAGCTTTATTCATCAGAAAGACAGGGACTGTCCTACTTACTACCAGTTCTAAAATCCCTAGAAAAAGACTGCTATTAGACTGGCTTTTCAATGGCGGGTACCAACCCTTTATCCAATCCATTGTGATCGGCGTAGGAAGTCTCATGAGTACAGTGAGAATGCACTCCAGCCTGCCTAGAATGGTCCTGTTTACAACTCTCAGCCTAACTTATCATCCACAGCACCCTCCCTCACTCTCAAATAACGTGCTCTAGTTTAGGTGATAAATTATAGAGTACTTCCACATGAACAAAATGATCCTTTCATGGTCACCATGCAGTTGGTGGTTGACTTCTAGAAATATGCTTGGGGTGGCAGGAGTAGAAGGTGGCTGGAAACCTAAGATGACCAAAAGGTGGGAGCACCCTTCAGGAAGCCAATTGCCTGTGTCCATCCCTCTGTGCCTGCCATCCCTAGTGCACCTCTTCCAGACACGACACCCAGAGTTAGGCAGCAGAGCCTGGCATACTTCAAGATTCACCCAGAGGTGTGCTGATCTCTTGAAAGCCTCCCTCTTCTCATGATACCACAGGTAGGGGACTGGGTCAGTGGTAAATTATAGAATGAGTATCCACCTGAGACTCTCAGCTAACTGTCTCCTCTACTTTAAGGATTTTCCTCCCTTTGACAAGCCCTGCACTTGGATTTCTCCCGAGTGAAATACTTGGTGAGGGTTTCACTGACAGGCTTCTTCCCAGGCCCCAGGATGATCTTAAGATTCCTGGAAATAAACTAAGAAGTAAATTTAAGGCAGCATCTTGCACTTTCATCTAATTCCTTACCGAAAATGTGTGAACCTGAAGGCAACTCAAAATTCTGAGTGAATTTCCAGACTTTTCTTGGAAGTGACAAGAAAGCAACCACAGGCACCACCCAGTCAGCATACAGACATTTGCAGCTTTCTCCCTTCATTTGCATTGTTTTCTTTAACACTTTTCCGCCCTCATTTTTCATTTGACATTCTCTTGTTTTGTATTTTTCCCCTTTCTCATTTTATTCTCTTTGTCCTTTTTAAAATTCATCTGCCTCTTTTCTGTCACATCTTCATTCCCCCTTCTTATTCCTTTCTTTCTTCTCCTCCTCCCTCCTTATTCTCTCTCTGTCCTTTTCCCTTGATGAGAGACACTAAATGTGAAGTCGATTTGTCCCTGGACGTAGCTGTTGCTTGGGAGGAGACACACCCCAGGCTCTGAAGACTCTCTACTTCAACACTGAAGGACCTCGGCCTCAGCACTGACATGAGTTACGTATGACGGTGGCCCCTGAAGGAGCACTTAACAGGTTACATTAGTGAGTGCTCTAGATCCCTTCTACACAGCTGTGCTTGAAGGTCCAGAACTGATTGCCAGTGTGTCTTTGGGGCATGCATTTTCTACTGCCTGTTCCATTCCAAAGAGCCGGCTTCCTGAGTCAGGTATAAGGCCCGACTGCTTAATATTTGATGATATGATTTTCCCACTGCTCAGATGAATACAATATTGTATAAGGCCAATGCAATGCTGAAGTTTTCACTCCACGATTTCAGCAAAGTACAAAGAAGCAAGCAGAGAAGGGAGCCCATAAACTCATAAACATCTGTGGGAAACAGCAAAGAGATTCATTTGGAAAATCAAAAAAGAAACTATAAAAAGATGTTTACATTATCCTGAGGAGAAAAGCTATATTCACAGACTTTATTATTAAGTTTTAAAGATAATTCATAATATATTTCTCTCTGGTGCTGCAGTAAAATTTTATGTTCAGGACTTCGGATATATGCCTTGTGTTTTAGGTCATGGCCATGGTAAGTGTCATATTGTGGGTCTTTGTTCATTCATTCATTCAACAAATATTTCTTGATGCACTTGTAATATGTTGGCCACTATAACATACATGGGCTATACGACCATGTCCAAGACAGGCAGGTTCCTACCTTCAAAAAGCTTATATTCTATTGAGTATATTCATAGATACAAACAAATGAATCAAGGAGTGGTTTAAAATTACTGAACTTTTGGAACAGAAAGAAGGCTAGTATGGCTGAAGCATGGTGAACAGGGTCTGGGTAGTGTAGGATGAAGCTGAGGGAATAGACAGAGACAAGGGTCATGATGAAAAGTATAGCTTTTATTCTAAGGGTAAATACTTCACGATCGTGGCTTCTTCTTCAAGACCAGAGCTAAAGACCAGCAATTCCTCTTCCCTGGCTAGACTTCAGGTACTGTTTGTCCACTTTCCCTGTGATCCCCTAAAATCTCTCCCTGTGGGGATCATTAATGCCATCTTTAACATAAAGTGACTTAAACCCCATAGAATTAGAAAACCCTCTCAGCAGAATCACCTCCTATTGTCCCTCCATCCCTGACCATCTGTCACAAATCTTTGCTCTTTTCTTGGATGTCCAGTTACAACATCAGCTTTCTAGGGTCTGGCCGTCGCCTCTTGACTTCCTGTGAAAAGGCCTCACTTTCTGCCTCTGTGATTATGAGCAAAACTTTTACACATATCTTTCTGGCTGTTTCTCATTCTAGGGGTTGGGTCACAAAATATGAATTAAAATATAAGCCATTTCAATTATTATCCTTTACTAATTTTTATGAACAGTTGGGAAATGTGCCATTTGAAACATTTTGCTTAGCATCCTCTCAGAGTCATGAAACTTCTGCATTTTTTGAACTGCTATGGATTAGCAATAACAGAATGGCAGGAAAAGAAGGATTGAGCATTTGTCATACCACTTTTACCCAGATTGACCCCTTGGCCAAACTCTCAATGTTGTTTAAAATTTGCATAATATTTTACAATTACAACTTAAACTTAGCTTCAATTTCCCAATAGTCAGCATCCAATTTAGTACATCTTGTTTTTTTTTAATCTCCTCTTTTCAGTTTCTTGTAGGGTTTTTATATTTAGTATTTTTTAATTAAAGGAAACTTGCAAAATTTCAATCCTGTGTAGACAGAATTGAATCCTGAACAGACAGAATCTTTGGATAGAAACCTCTGCATTTTGAGAACACCGCTCTAAGAAATGCCTTAATGGAGCAGCACTTTCCAGTAAGATGAAGAGTTACAGATAGGAGCAAATTGCAACTGAACTTGTGTTTTCCTGGCTGAGTTGCCAGGAGCCATGTATTTTTCCTATTGTTCTGCAGATCTTTGCTGGAAAGTTTATATTCATTGATTGCTCAAGGCAAGTGCTGCAGCTTGGTGAAATCCCTTTCTAAAAATAAAAATGTACAACAGGTACTCAGATATCCTTACACTGCCTACTTTCCACTGCTGACTTCCACCTCCCTCCAAGAAAGTAGAAGTTTGTGGGAAATGGAAAATATGGAAGGTGGGTAAACAATGGGGGATAGGAAAAGGAGAAAAGAGAAAGAGGGGAATAGTGCAATGGAGGGTAGAAATGGGGAAGAAAGAAGATAAAAGAGGGAGGCGTTGGAGAAGAGAGGATACAGGATCACCTTAAAGGTAGAAGTTCTGTGAGGAAAGAGCTGGAGGAGATATGAGATGAAGAAAATGAACATGGAAAACTTTAGAACTGATGTCAGAACAGGCTGCTGTTTTTTAACCTGAAAGTGATTCCAACCTTGTATTAGTCTCACATGGCTGCTGTAACAAGTTACCACAAACTTGGTGGTTAAACAACAATACTGTTTTTGAGGTAAGAGGTTAAAATTGGTCTCACTAGGCTAAAACCAAAGTGTCAACAGGACTATGCTCCTTTCTGGAGCCTCTAAAGGAGAATTTGTTCCCTTGATCTTCAGCTTCTGCAGGTTGCCCACAATCCTTGGTTCACAATCTGCTTCCTACATCATTAAAGACAACATAGGCAGATTGAGACTTTCTTACATTAAATGACCAATTTCTGCTTCCAATGGCACATTTTCATCTCTCTCTCCCCTGCTCACTTCTTCCACTTATAAAGACACTTGTAATTACACTGAGCTTGTAACCATCAGGGAATGTATCTGAGTCACATGGCACCAAAATATGTTAGCAGCTGCAAATCTGTACAGGTCTGCAGCAAGTTCAATTCTTGCCTCCTCAGAGGGGAGAATTCAACCAAGGGTAATAAGGTGGAGGGAGAGACTGAGGCAAGTTTTACAGCAGGATTGAAACTTTATTAAAAAGTTTAGAGCAGGAATGAAAGGAAGTAAGGTACACTTGGAAGAGGGCCAAGCGGGCAACTTGAGAGAGTCAAGTGTGTGGTTTGACCTTTGACTTGGGGTTTTATGCATCGGCATTATTCCAGAGTCTGCATCTCTACTCCCCTGATTCTTCCCTTGGGGTGGGATGTCTGCATGTGCAGTGGCCTGCCTGCACTTGGTGGGGGCCGGGGGAAGCATGAGTAATGTGTTTACTGAAGTGTACATGTTCACTTGAGGCATTTTTTCCATACTGGTTGAGTGTCCCTAGTAGATTATATACCAGTTAAACTGTGCCATTTTGCCTCTTAGGGCACATGCTTGAGCCCACTCACCCAACTCCTGAAATCTTACTGGGAAGCTGCTGATCACCAGGTTTAGGTATTTCTATCTACTGGGAGACTGCCTTTCCCTGGTGCTAACTGTAACCAATTATTATTTTAAAGTGGCAGTTTAACAACCACCTGAACATCACCTGATGCTCACCTGGCATACTTTGGTGGGGAGAAGGGGAGCTCTCCTGCCATGCTCATGTCTGCCTCTGCCTCATGACCTATAGTCACAAGCCCATCTGGACAATCTGGGATAATTTTCCCACCTCAAGGGCAGCTTATGGGCACTCTAATTCCATCTGCAACTTTAGTTCCCCACACCTGCCCCATGTAACCTACAATATTCAAGGATTCCAGGGATTAGTATGTGGACACCTTTATGAGGGCATTGTTTTGCCTACAGAAGTCCTGGTACTGTGATAGGGATCTCTCTGATTCCTGGATGGCTCAGACTTCAAACCCCACTATCACTCCATTTCTTTTGTCACATCTTCATATTGAAAATGAGGCTTGATGCAAGGTCTGGCTTTCCATGTCTTTCTTTATAGGGGCCATAGGGGATCACTCTTTGCCTTTATCTAGTATCTGAAGTGTATTCTACAAATTTGAACTGTGTTCACAGTATCCATCTATTGTGATTCAATTCTTCAAGCAAAACTAGACTTTGATTAGCAAACAAAGCCTGAAATGTCTAAATAAAATAAAGGATATGAAATGAAAGTACATAAATGAGCAGTTTGTTCTTTCTTAGATTGGCCACCATGGCTTATAGAGAGAAAGCCCCTGTTCTGTGTGAGCAATACCAAATGAAGCATGCACTGGCACATGAGGTTGAGAGACCTGGGCTAGGGTTAGAGGTGGTGCTCCGAGAAAGATCGGAGGAAAAGAAATTGTATCAGTAAAATAATTACATAACTTCTTTGCAGTTTTTATATTTCCTGTTTTCCTGGAAGGATTCTCTCTTATTTATAAACAGTTTTTGTGATTGATTAAACTGGCTACCTAGTCACTCAAGATAGATAACTCAACTTTTTAATTGAACAAAATTGACTGATGCTGTGTATTACAGTTAATATTACAGCTTTGATAGATGCAATGAACAATTATCTGTGCATATGAGCAGTGCAAAGAAAGGGGATTTCTGAGTTCTGTTTGTTTAAATACATGTGCATTTGAACTAATTTGTCCAAATATCAGTCAATAATATACAAATGTAAAGTTACAGCAACCATACTTTAAATAAGATAATATTACAAAAACATTTTAACATAGTACCACATATTTATTTGTGGAATGAGATTGTTTCCAGTATGTAATCAAAGGGGGATGAGAAACTCAAAATTGACAAGGGAGATTTAGTAAACAAAGTCTTTATACGTATCCTAAAGCTAGAAAGAAGATAGGCACTCCTTTAGCATAAGTAGGTCTAAAGTGATATAAGCAAACAGGATATGAACTCATTCTATGGAGCCATTGATGGGATCTGAAAAGGTGAGATATCTGACTTTTTAAAATATGTGTTGACCAAAAAAGGCAAAAGCAGAAAGGAATATTATAAGACAAGTTGAAAAAAAAAATCCCCAAATCCCTCAACTTCCCCCATCCACATCTGAAAAAAATCAACAGCAAAATGTTCTGCTTGTGTGGTCAGAAGGGTCCAATTTTTACAATTTTAGAACACAAACTGAAAATCAGAATGATTTCTGCAGAGAAACTTACTAGTTTCCCAATTCAGAAGATCAAATAAATAGTTGTACCTCAATGCCCAAAGATTACTGAA
Source organism: Homo sapiens (assembly GCF_000001405.40). NCBI lineage: Eukaryota > Metazoa > Chordata > Mammalia > Primates > Hominidae > Homo > Homo sapiens. The sequence goes on along the minus strand of NC_000010.11, from coordinate 85,372,214 downwards.
GTTCACAAAAACAAAAAGAGATATGCGGGACAGATTAAGCAAAACCGCTGTAGAAATAATCAGAGATATTAAAATGATAAGTGGAAAAGACAGATTAGAATAAATAACCAACATCAACTAGAACAAATTTTCTACTACAAGTTTCAGGCAGAATGTACAGATTTTCTACACAAGAAAAAGAATTAGATAATCTCAGATTACTGAAGTGAACATATGTAGACTATAGAATTACATGTGAGACAAAAATCTTCTATCTAGCCAAGATACCGTCTGTTTGTTAGGGCAAGGAGGGGTGTGTGTGTGTGTGTGTGTGTGTGTGTGTGTGTGTGTTTCTTTCAAGAATTCATAGGACATGTTACACAGTTTTATCTAAAGAAAAACACAAGGATATATGAATAAGATGTTATCAAATGGCAATTAAATTAAAACAGATATATTAAATAAAAGATAACAAAAATAAATCATGAGCAAAGATTTTAAAATACATGCACAGACATTTATGTACACATATTTATAAATATGTATTTATAGGATAAACTGAAAATGATAATATGACTGATAATTTTTACTATAAAATTTAAGTAAAGGTAAATAAGACATAGACAACAAAAATCAGGAAAAACATTTAATAGCCTATAAATAAAATATTTCAAATTATTTAGAATAACCTTTAAGTTTTACGATCAGAAGTTAGAGATTTAAATGCCTTTGAATGATTTCATTTTATAAAGATGGGAAAAGTAAGAATGGGTGAGCAAAATATTTATTAGAAATATATAATTATTGTTTCATATGAATATAGTTACTGATAAAATGAGGCAAGTTAATATTTTTATTGTTGAAAAGATAATATTTGAGGCAATTTAAAATGATACTGGAATTTTAAAATTAACAGTGGGTGGTAAAGAGAAAATAGTCTAGGCCAGCAAAAATAAGGATTAGAAGAAAGCAAACAGCATCAATAAAGAGTAGACAATAAATAGCAAATACAAGCTAGGATGAAAATAATAAAAACCAAATATTTTAGTGAACACAATAAATACGGGTGGATTAAAATAGTCCCTCATGATGTTCATTTTCATAATACAATATATAAATACACATACACATGCACAATGTGTTTGATATTTTCAAGTAGAATACCCAATGAAAACGACCAAAGCAAAGTTTGAAATAAATATTCTAGCAAATATAAATTAAGCAAATGTAATAAGATGAAATGGAGTGAATGGAAAAAGCCAAATGCATTATACAGGAAAAATAATATTATGTGCAAAAAATTATTAAAATATATCTCTTTATGCAAAAACAAAATGGAGCCAAATAAGGAAAAACCTGCAGAAAATGGAACTTGATAACATTAAATTAAAGTAGAAGATATTAATAAAACTTCTTTTTCTGAAAGGACACATGATGTCAATAATAAATGTACATGGATAATGAGGATTTGGATTATTAAACAGAAGGATTTGATTCTATCAAATAAAAGGATTTATCTCAAAAAGTTGAGATATTATTAAGCCTCTTCATTGTTCATAAATATATGAAGTAAAATGTCAACCATAGAATTATACAAAAACTTAATATCATGACAATTAAGACATTCTTAAGTAATCTCTGAAGCAAAATGGATATCAAAATTGAAATAAAAACTACCTCAGGCTGATCTGGGTGGCTCATGCCTGTAATCCTAGCACTTTGAGAGGCTGAGGAAAGAGGATTGCCCAAGAGTTCAAGAACAACCTGGGACACACATTTGAGACTCCATCTCTAAAATATTTTTTTAAAAATTAGCTGGGCATGGTGGCACATACCTATAGTCTCAGCTATTTAGGGGGCAGAAGTGGAAGGATTGCTTGAGCCCAGGAGGTTGAGGCTACGGTGAGCCATGATTGCACCACTGCACTCCAGCCTGGGTGACAAAGCAAGACCCTGTCTCAGAAAAGGAAAAAAAAAATCAATCTGAAAAGGACAAAACTACATGCTAAAATATGTGTAAAAGCAAAATGTGTAACTATAAAAAATTCACAATAGTACTTTTTTTTTTTTACTATTAAAAGGCTAATAGAATAATACATTGAGAATTTGACTACTAAATGTAGAAACATTAAGAAGAACTGAAAGGATGAAATTAATTAAAATTAAGAACTAAAACTGAAGGAATAGAAAACAACCAAATGGGTAAATAGGATAATAAAACATTTTTCTTTCCAAAACAGTAAAATAAATGCAATGCTAAGAAGTTCACCTTATGAGAAAAAGAGAAAATGAAAGAACTGAAAACATTAAGAATGACAAAGGGGGTTTAAGCACAAATACAAATAAATTAGATTTATAAATGAGTATTAAGTTTAACACTGTGAATTTGACAATACAGTAGAAATAAATAGTTTTCTAGCAAAAATATGAAATTTTCATATTTCAAATGGCAGGATGAGCCTTATGCCAATTACTTCTCCTACCCCCGCCCTAAGTGGCATCACATAGTAGACAATATTAAATGAAAAGCCAGCTAAGCTAAGCAAGAACAGCAACAACAACTCATCAACAGGAAAAAATGAAAAAATGAAGTGGAATAAATACAAAAAGCCACCAAAAACAAAAGGTTATCATTGGTAATGGCATAACCTGTTTCTGAATGACTTTTGGGTAAATCATGAAATTAAGGTAGACATCAAGAAGCCCTTTGAAACTAATAAGAACAAAGATACAACATACCAGAATGTCTGGGACACAGCTAAGAGGGAAATTCATAGCACTAAATCCACATCAAAAACTTAGAAGCATCTCAAATTAACAACCTAACATCACAACCGAAAAAACTAGAAACCAAGAGCAACCAAATCCCAGAGATAATGGAGGACCAGAAATAACCAAAATCAGAGCTGAACTGAAAGAGATTGAGATACGGAAAACCATTCAAAAGGTCAACAAATCCAGGAGCTGTTATTTTGAAAGAATTAATACAATAAATGCACTGCTAGCTAGATTAATAAGGAAGAAAAGAGAGAAGATTCAAATAAGCACAATCAGAAAGACAAGGGAAATACTACCACTGACTCCACAGAAATACAACCAACCATCAGAGAATATTATAAACACCTCTATAAACATAAACTAGAAAATACAGAAGAAATGGATAAATTCCTGGACACATACATCCTCCCAAGACTGAACCATAAAGAAACTGAATCTCTGAACTGACCAATAATGAACTCTGAAATTGAGAGTAATAATAGCCTGCCAACCAAAAAAAGCGCCAAACCAAATGGATTCGTGGTTGAATTCTACCAGATGTACAAAATGGTACCATTTGTATTTGAAACTGTTTCAAAAACTTGAGAAAGAGGAACTCCTCCCTAACTCATTCTATGAGGCCAGCATCATTCTGATACCAAAACCTGGCAGAGTTGCCAGGGGCAGTGGCTCACACCTGTAATACCAGCACTTTGGGAGGCCGAGGAGGGTGGATCATGAGGTCAGGAGTTCAAGATCAGACTGACCAAGATGGTGAAACCCCATCTCTACTAAAAATACAAAAAAATTAGCTGGCCATGGTGGTGGGTGCCTGTAATCCCAGCCACTCGGGAGGCTGAGGCAGAGAATTGCTGGAACCCAGGAGGCGGAGGTTGCAGTGAGCCGAGATTGTGCCACTGCACTCCAGCCTGGGCAACAGAGCAAAACACTGGAAAAAAAAAAAAAAAGCTGGCATAGACACAACAAAAAAAGAAAACTTCAGGCTAATATCCTTGATGAACATATATGCAAAAATCCTCAACAAAATACTGGTGAATTGAACCCAGCAGCACATCAAAAAGTGTATCCACCACAATCAAGTCAGCTTTATTTCTGGGATGCAAGGTTGGTTCAATATATGCAAATCAATAAATGTGATTCATCACATAAACAGAACAAAAGACAAAAACCACATGATTATCTCAATAGATGCAGAAAAGGCCTTCAATAAAACTCAACCCTGATTCCTGTTAAAAATTCTCAATAAACGAGGTATTGAATGAACAAACTTCAAAATAATAAGAGCTGTATGTAACACACCCATAGCCAATATCATACTGAATGGGCAAAAGCTGGAAGCATTCCCCTTTAAAACCAGTACAAGACAAGGATGCCCTCTCTCACCATTCCTATTTAACATATTATTGGAAGTTCTGGCCAGGACAATCAGACAAGAGAAAGAAATAAAGGGTATTAAAATAGGAAGAGAGGAAGTCAAATTATCTTAGTCTGCAGATGATTGATGATCCTATATCTAGAAATGATCCTGTATCTAGAAAACACCTTCGTCTCCACTCAAAAGCTTCTTAAGCTGATAAGCAACTTCAGCAAAGTCTCAGAATATAAAATCAATGTGCAAAAATCAGTAGCATTCCTATATGCTAACAACAATCAAGCTGAGAGCCAAATCATGAATAATGCACACTCACAATTGCCACAAAAAGGATAAAATATCTTGCAATACAGTTAACTAAGGAGGTAAAAGTTCTCAACAAGGGGAACTACAAACTAGTGCTCGAAGAAATCAAAGGTGATAGAAACAAATGGCAAAATGTTCCATGCTCATGTATAGGAAGAATCAATATTGTGAAAATGGCCAAACTGCCCAAAGCAATTTATATATTCAATGCTATTTCCTATTAAAATCCCACTGGGACTCTTCAGAGAACTAGATAGAGCTATTTTAAAATTCATATGGAATGAAAAACAGACTGAAGAGCCAAGACATTCCTAAGCAAAAAGAACAACACTGGAGGCATCACTCTACCCAACTTCAAACTGTACCATAGGGCTACAGTAATTAAAACAGCATGGTACTGGTGCAAAAACAGACAGATAGACCAATGGAAGAGAATAGACAACCCAGAAATAAGACCACACACATACAAACATCTGATCTTCAACAAACCTGACAAAAACAAGCAATGGGGAAAGGATTCCTTATTCAATAAATGGTGTTGGGAAAACTGACTAGCCATATGCAGATTAAAACTGGACCCCTTCTTTACAGCATATACAAAAATTAATAACTCAAGGTAGATTAAAGACTTATATGTAAAATCCAAAACTATAAAAACTCTAGAAGACAACCTAGATAATACCATTCAGGAGATGGAACAGGCAAAAATTTCATGTTGAAGACACCAAAAGCAATTGAACAAAACAAAATTTGACAAATGGAATCTAATTAAACCAAAGAGCTTGTGCACAGCAAAGTAAACTATCAACAGAGTAAACAGACAACCTTTAGAATGGGAGAAAATTTTTGCAAACTATGCATCTGACAAAGGTCTAATATTCAGCATTTGTAAGGAACTGAAACAAATTTACAAGAAGAAAAAAAGAAACAACCTCATTAAAAAGTGGGCAAAGGACATAAACAGGCACTTCAAAAGATAACATACATGCATCCAATAATCATATGAAAAAAGCAAAACGTCACTGATCATTAGAGAAACACAAATCAAAACCACAGTGAGATATCATCTCATACCACTCAGAATGGCTGTTATGTAAAAGTTAAAAAATAACAGATGATGGCAAGGTTGTGGAGAAAAAGGAATGCTTATACACTGTTGATGGGAGTGTAAATTAGTTCAAGCATTGTGGGAGACAGTGTGGTGATTCCTCAAAGAACTAAAGACAGAGATACCATTCAACCTAGCAATCCTATTACTAGGTATATACCCAAAGGAATAAAAATCATTCTACTATAAAGACATATGCACACATATGTGCATTGCAGCACTATTCACATAGCAAAGACATGAAATCAACCTGAATGCCTATCAATGATAGACTGGATAAAGAAAATGTGGTACATACATACCACGGAATACTAAGCAGCCATAAAAAAAATGAGATCATGCCATTTGCAGGGACATGGATGGAGCTGGAGGCCATTATCCTTAGCACAGTAACACAGGAAAGGAAAAACAGAAACCACATGCTTTCACTTATAAGTGGGAGCTAAATGGTGAGAACACATGGACACATGGATTGCGGGGGAACACCACACACTGGGGCCTATCAGAGGGTGGAAGGTGGAAGGAGGGAGAGGAACAGGACAAATAACGAATGGATGCTTGGCTTAATACCTGGGTGATGAAATGACCAGTACAACAAACCCCCACAACACAAGCTTACCTATGTAACAAACCTGCACATGTACCCCTGAATTTAAAATAAAAGTTGAACAAAGCAAGTTAACTGAGTAATTCCTGAAATTCGTAAAATGGATAACTTCTAGATGAAAATAAATGAAACCACAGGCAAAAACAAGGACAGGCCAAGACTGCTTAAATAGTAGAGGTGTTTTCAGAGGCCTTCCAAGCCTGAAAATGGAAGACACTGGAAGACAGGACCATATCTCTAAGCAGTGTGATCAGTTAGGATACACAATTAGGCCAGCTTTTTGACATCCGTACCAAGTTCATCTCTCCTATATAGCCGGTGCAAAGCCACAAAGCAGTGTAGCTCAGGGAAGGAGCAGTGAGTTTGGGCACTTGTGACAGAATAGTGGGACTATGCCAGAGATACACAGGAGGAGGTGGTACCTTCTAGCTCCCCCTCAAAACATAAAGCATAGACTGCAAAGTACTCCCAAGCAGGCTGAATAACACTCGAGTACCAAAAAAATACACTCTGAAACAATACCAATAATTTTTTTAAAAATTATATATACCATGATAGTTAGAAATCATATAAAACCTTATGTCTAGTAGAACAAAAAGATAAATAGGGTTATTTCTTTGTTCTGTTGGGTAAAGAATTAAAAGTGAGAGGAGGAGGGTGATACAAATATGGATTAATGCTAGAAAGACTTTGACAAATATAATTTTAAGTATGTATGTTAACATCTTTAGTGTAAACACTTGAAAAATAGAAATAAATAAATCCAGATCATTAGAGAAACAACAGCAACAAAATCCTTGAAGGAAACGTAATAAATAAATTAAAAAAACATAAGAACTTAAAAAGTGGGGGAAGATGTAATGAAGACTTAGGATAAAAATAAATCAGTAAACAAGACGAAATTTTTAAAATAAAATAATGATTGTCAATATAAATGGATAACATTAATCTACTAAAAGCACATTTTTTGAAGAACAAACAAAATAAAGCAAGCAGGATCAAGTGGAATTCAAGATGAAAGTAAAATACAATTTTTCATATTGATGAAATGAATAATTCACCATGAAAATATTTTAGTCAATAATACTTATGCATTCAGAAACATAGCTTAAAATACATACAGAAAAAAATGATTAGCTGTGGAAGACAAATTGACAAAGCTACAAAACTAGTGAGAGAGTTTATTACACCTCTCTCAAAAGTGACAGAACAGATAAGTAGACCAAAATAAGTACAGGTATATTGAATAATAAAATGTTTGAACAAGTAGAATTTAAATTCAATAGAAGTTGCATTTTTTTTGTGAATGTGAATTATTTATTTGAGCAAATAAATATGTATTCCTTTAAATTTAACAAAACTATACTTTTTAAATAATATATACAAAACATTCACAAATAATGATTATGAACTAGGAACCAAGGGAAATCTGAACAACGTATAAAAAGCTGATTTTATGTAATCTATATCCATTAAACAAAATACAATTAAGAATTAACAAATTAGGAGCAAAAAAAATACTAAAATGTAAAATCTATGCATATATAAAACATACATTTATAAACAACTATTGAGTTAGATAAAACATTAAAATGGAAATTTGCTGTTAAAATTGATAGCAAAGGTATCAGTTAGATATAAAAAACAATTGTGGTGCTTAATTTTCTGTGTCAACTTGCCTGAGCAATGGGATGCCAAGATAGCTGGTTAAACATTATTTCCGGGTGTGTCTGTAATGGTGTTTCTGGAAGAGATGAGCATTTGAATTGGTGGACTGAGTAAAGCAGATGCCTACCCCGCCCCGCTCACTGTGAGTGGGAATCATTTCATTCTCTGAGGGCCTGAATAGAACAAAAAGGTAGAGTTGAATTCACCCTCTGCCTGATGGCTTCAGTTGGGACTTTGATCTCCTGCCTTTGGCTTTCTCGGTTCTCAGGCCTTCAGACACAGACTGTGGCTTAGTCTGTTTTCTGTTGCGTTTAACAGAATACTTGGAACTGAGTAATATATATTTAAAAAAAAAGGAATTCATTTCTCATAGTTATGGAGGCTTAGAAGTCCAAGGTCAAGGAGTTGCATCTGGATCTCAGGCCTTCAAACCACACTATAGTCTTTCCTCTGTCTCCAGCTTAAAGACAGCCGACTGTGGGACTTCTCAGCCTTCATAACCATTTAACCCAATATACCTTCTAATGAATCCTCTCTCTCTTTTTTCCCCAGTCTTCTATTGGTTATTTTTCTCTGGACATTCCTTGCTAATACAATAATAAGCATTGACTATTAATGAACTTAGAAATTAAAAAATTAGAAATTTTGTAAATAAATGAACTTAGTTTTTGATTTAAAAACCTGGAACAGGACAAGTCAGTGATTAAAGAAAAATAGAAAGAAGAAATTAGGCCGGGCGCAGTGGCTCACACCTGTAATCGCAGCACTTTGGGAGGCTGAGGCGGGCGGATCACCTGAGGCCAGGAGTTTGAGACCAGCCTGGCCAACATGGTGAAACCCTGTCTCTACTAAAAATACAAAAATTAGCCAGGCGTGGTGGTGCGTTCCTGTAATCTCAGCTACTGGGGAGGCTGAGGCAGGAGAATCGCTTGAACCCGGGAGGCGGAGGTTGCAGTGAGCTGACATCGTGCCACTGCACTCCAACCTGGGTGACAGAGTGAGACTCTGTCTCAAAAAAAAAAAAAAGAAAAGAAAGGAGAAATTAATAAAGATAATAGCCCAAAATAATAACATAAAAAGGTAAAACCTTAAGTTATCCAAAACCCCATAGAATTCTTTTTTTTTTTAGACAGAGTCTCGCTCTGTCACCAGGCTGGAGTGCAGTGCTGCAACCTCCGCCTCCCGGGTTCAAGCGGTTCTCCTGCCTCAGCCTCCCGAGTAGTGGGGACTCCAGGCGCGCGCAACCACCACGCCCAGTTATTTTTGTATTTTTAGTAGAGACAGGGTTTCACCATGTTGGCCAGGATGGTCTTCATCCCTTGACCTCGTGATCTGCCTTCCTCGGCCTCTCAAAGTGCTGGTATTACAGGCGAGAGCCACCGCACCCTGGCCCCCAGAGAATTCTTAAATATATGTTTGTAAAATTTGTCAATGTATTTGAATTAGGAAACCAACTGGGGGTTATTTTTAGTACCCTGACATTTGGAGAAGTGACTAGATTACATAATCTTTGGCAGAAATTGTCTTCTTTACAGTGAATAATCCTGACAATCTGAATAACCTTACCTCATAGATCTAACACACTGAACTACCCTAGCCCTTTCAGAGAAGGTGCAGAGAAAATTAGGAGCTCCATGAAAGCACCATTCACCTGCTAAAAATGCCAAGTGATCAGACACAAAGCAAGACTAGACGAGGAGCACTGGGCAGGGTGATGAATTGCATTTCATAAAGCCCAAAATAGTTTATGCTCATTTACCAACTTTAAGGGCCTTCATCAGGACAAGGGCCCTCTGCCAGGAAGCAAACATCTAAAGTGAGTGACCTTGAATCTTGGCTGGCTGATAATGGACCACAAAGAATTGACAAAATCCAACTGCTTGCTGGAAGATACATGGCTTCCTTCAGCAGACAGGTGAAAGATAAAATAGGTTGGCTTACAAAAAACAAAGAGCCCTGGACTTATTGATTTTTATAAACAAAACCCTTTGGGTGCCCTACAAGTAGAAAGATGGTATGACAATCTGTCTTCCTGGAATAAAAATAGAGATGTGTATAAATTAAATATGCTTTACTTCTGAAAGGCATGCTACAGTAGCAGCAAAGTTAACTGCTACTGAACCTTTTTCTTTCCATTTTGTTTTGTCTTAAAGAAGGTTGCTTAGCTTTCTCTTTCTTTTTTTTTTTTTTTTTTGAGACAGAGTCTCGTTCTGTCGCCAGGCAGTGCAGTGGCGAGATATCGGCTCACTGCAACCTCCACCTCCTGGGTTCAAGCAGTTCTTCTGCCTCAGCCTCCCAAGTAGCTGGGACTACAGGCACACAACACCACGCCCAGCTAATTTTTGTATTTTTGGTAGAGACAGGGTTTCACCATGTTGGCCAGGATGGTCTCGATCTCTTGACTTTGTGATCCACCCGGTTCAGCCTCCCAGAGTGCTGGGATTACAGGTGTAAGCCACAGGACCCAGCCCAGCTTTCCCTTCCTAATGAAGTAGAGAGCACTGCTGTGAGGCCTCCCCAAATCCTTGATGCATGCAGGGATTAAGAGTTGGGTTGAAGCTAGCTCCTATGTATTCTATGAACTTTAACGTAAATGGACATTTTTTGGGGTAGTACTTTGTTTAATTAAAATGTTCTCCACTATGGGTTTATAAGATTTTTGTTCATTTCTCCATGAAATAATTTCTTAGATTATATTATCTGTTTACCAACCCATCTCACCTTCCCCTCAAGGAAGCAAGCCAAAAGTCATTCATATGTTTTTTTTTTTTTTTTTTTTTTTTTTTTTTTTTTTTTTTTTTTTTTTTTTTAGTATTTGATTGTGTATTTATACCACATTTTCTTTATTTTTTTTTTCTTTTTTTTTTTTTTATTATACTCTCAGTTTTAGGGTACATGTGCACATTGTGCAGGTTAGTTACATATGTATACATGTGCCATGCTGGTGCGCTGCACCCACTAATGTGTCATCTAGCATTAGGTATATCTCCCAATGCTATCCCTCCCCCCTCCCCCGACCCCACCACAGTCCCCAGAGTGTGATATTCCCCTTCCTGTGTCCATGTGATCTCATTGTTCAATTCCCACCTATGAGTGAGAATATGCGGTGTTTGGTTTTTTGTTCTTGCGATAGTTTACTGAGAATGATGGTTTCCAATTTCATCCATGTCCCTACAAAGGATATGAACTCATCATTTTTTATGGCTGCATAGTATTCCATGGTGTATATGTGCCACATTTTCTTAATCCAGACTATCATTGTTGGACATTTGGGTTGGTTCCAAGTCTTTGCTATTGTGAATAGTGCCGCAATAAACATACGTGTGCATGTGTCTTTATAGCAGCATGATTTATAGTCCTTTGGGTATATACCCAGTAATGGGATGGCTGGGTCAAATGGTATTTCTAGTTCTAGATCCCTGAGGAATCGCCACACTGACTTCCACAATGGTTGAACTAGTTTACAGTCCCACCAACAGTGTAAAAGTGTTCCTATTTCTCCACATCCTCTCCAGCACCTGTTGTTTCCTGACTTTTTAATGATTGCCATTCTAACTGGTGTGAGATGATATCTCATAGTGGTTTTGATTTGCATTTCTCTGATGGCCAGTGATGATGAGCATTTTTTCATGTGTTTTTTGGCTGCATAAATGTCTTCTTTTGAGAAGTGTCTGTTCATGTCCTTCGCCCACTTTTTGATGGGGTTGTTTGTTTTTTTCTTGTAAATTTGTTTGAGTTCATTGTAGATTCTGGATATTAGCCCTTTGTCAGATGAGTAGGTTGCAAAAATTTTCTCCCATGTTGTAGGTTGCCTGTTCACTCTGATGGTAGTTTCTTTTGCTGTGAAGAAGCTCTTTAGTTTAATTAGATCCCATTTGTCAATTTTGGTTTTTGTTGCCATTGCTTTTGGTGTTTTGGACATGAAGTCCTTGCCCACGCCTATGTCCTGAATGGTAATGCCTAGGTTTTCTTCTAGGGTTTTTATGGTTTTAGGTCTAACATTTAAGTCTTTAATCCATCTTGAATTGATTTTTGTATAAGGTGTAAGGAAGGGATCCAGTTTCAGCTTTCTACATATGGCTAGCCAGTTTTCCCAGCACCATTTATTAAATAGGGAATCCTTTCCCCATTGCTTGTTTTTCTCAGGTTTGTCAAAGATCAGATAGTTGTAGATATGCGGCATTATTTCTGAGGGCTCTGTTCTGTTCCATTGATCTATATCTCTGTTTTGGTACCAGTACCATGCTGTTTTGGTTACTGTAGCCTTGTAGTATAGTTTGAAGTCAGGTAGTGTGATGCCTCCAGCTTTGTTCTTTTGGTTTAGGATTGACTTGGCAATGCGGGCTCTTTTTTGGTTCCATATGAACTTTAAAGTAGTTTTTTCCAATTCTGTGAAGAAAGTCATTGGTAGCTTGATGGGGATGGCATTGAATCTGTAAATTACCTTGGGCAGTATGGCCATTTTCACGATATTGATTCTTCCTACCCATGAGCATGGAATGTTCTTCCATTTGTTTGTGTCCTCTTTTATTTCCTTGAGCAGTGGTTTGTAGTTCTCCTTGAAGAGGTCCTTCACATCCCTTGTAAGTTGGATTCCTAAGTATTTTATTCTCTTTGAAGCAATTGTGAATGGGAGTTCACCCATGATTTGGCTCTCTGTTTGTCTGTTGTTGGTGTATAAGAATGCTTGTGATTTTTGTACATTGATTTTGTATCCTGAGACTTTGCTGAAGTTGCTTATCAGCTTAAGGAGATTTTGGGCTGAGATGATGGGGTTTTCTAGATAAACAATCATGTCGTCTGCAAACAGGGACAATTTGACTTCCTCTTTTCCTAATTGAATACCCTTTATTTCCTTCTCCTGCCTGATTGCCCTGGCCAGAACTTCCAACACTATGTTGAATAGGAGCGGTGAGAGAGGGCATCCCTGTCTTGTGCCAGTTTTCAAAGGGAATGCTTCCAGTTTTTGCCCATTCAGTATGATATTGGCTGTGGGTTTGTCATAGATAGCTCTTATTATTTTGAAATACGTCCCATCAATACCTAATTTATTGAGAGTTTTTAGCATGAAGGGTTGTTGAATTTTGTCAAAGGCTTTTTCTGCATCTATTGAGATAATCATGTGGTTTTTGTCTTTGGCTCTGTTTATATGCTGGATTACATTTATTGATTTGCGTATATTGAACCAGCCTTGCATCCCAGGGATGAAGCCCACTTGATCATGGTGGATAAGCTTTTTGATGTGCTGCTGGATTCGGTTTGCCAGTATTTTATTGAGGATTTTTGCATCAATGTTCATCAAGGATATTGGTCTAAAATTCTCTTTTTTGGTTGTGTCTCTGCCCGGCTTTGGTATCAGAATGATGCTGGCCTCATAAAATGAGTTAGGGAGGATTCCCTCTTTTTCTATTGATTGGAATAGTTTCAGAAGGAATGGTACCAGTTCCTCCTTGTACCTCTGGTAGAATTCGGCTGTGAATCCATCTGGTCCTGGACTCTTTTTGGTTGGTAAACTATTGATTATTGCCACAATTTCAGAGCCTGTTATTGGTCTATTCAGAGATTCAACTTCTTCCTGGTTTAGTCTTGGGAGAGTGTATGTGTTGAGGAATGTATCCATTTCTTCTAGATTTTCTAGTTTATTTGCGTAGAGGTGTTTGTAGTATTCTCTGATGGTAGTTTGTATTTCTGTGGGATCGGTGGTGATATCCCCTTTATCATTTTTTATTGTGTCTATTTGATTCTTCTCTCTTTTTTTCTTTATTAGTCTTGCTAGCGGTCTATCAATTTTGTTGATCCTTTCAAAAAACCAGCTCCTGGATTCATTGATTTTTTGAAGGGTTTTTTGTGTCTCTATTTCCTTCAGTTCTGCTCTGATTTTAGTTATTTCTTGCCTTCTGCTAGCTTTTGAATGTGTTTGCTCTTGCTTTTCTAGTTCTTTTAATTGTGACGTTAGGGTGTCAATTTTGGATCTTTCCTGCTTTCTCTTGTAGGCATTTAGTGCTATAAATTTCCCTCTACACACTGCTTTGAATGCGTCCCAGAGATTCTGGTATGTGGTGTCTTTGTTCTCGTTGGTTTCAAAGAACATCTTTATTTCTGCCTTCATTTCGTTATGTACCCAGTAGTCATTCAGGAGCAGGTTGTTCAGTTTCCATGTAGTTGAGCGGCTTTGAGTGAGATTCTTAATCCTGAGTTCTAGTTTGATTGCACTGTGGTCTGAGAGATAGTTTGTTATAATTTCTGTTCTTTTACATTTGCTGAGGAGAGCTTTACTTCCAACTATGTGGTCAATTTTGGAATAGGTGTGGTGTGGTGCTGAAAAAAATGTATATTCTGTTGATTTGGGGTGGAGAGTTCTGTAGATGTCTATTAGGTCTGCTTGGTGCAGAGCTGAGTTCAATTCCTGGGTATCCTTGTTGACTTTCTGTCTCGTTGATCTGTCTAATGTTGACAGTGGGGTGTTAAAGTCTCCCATTATTAATGTGTGGGAGTCTAAGTCTCTTTGTAGGTCACTCAGGACTTGCTTTATGAATCTGGGTGCTCCTGTATTGGGTGCATAAATATTTAGGATAGTTAGCTCCTCTTGTTGAATTGATCCCTTTACCATTATGTAATGGCCTTCTTTGTCTCTTTTGATCTTTGTTGGTTTGAAGTCTGTTTTATCAGAGACTAGGATTGCAACCCCTGCCTTTTTTTGTTTTCCATTTGCTTGGTAGATCTTCCTCCATCCTTTTATTTTGAGCCTATGTGTGTCTCTGCACGTGAGATGGGTTTCCTGAATACAGCACACTGATGGGTCTTGACTCTTTATCCAACTTGCCAGTCTGTGTCTTTTAATTGCAGAATTTAGTCCATTTATATTTAAAGTTAATATTGTTATGTGTGAATTTGATCCTGTCATTATGATGTTAGCTGGTGATTTTGCTCATTAGTTGATGCAGTTTCTTCCTAGTCTCGATGGTCTTTACATTTTGGCATGATTTTGCAGCGGCTGGTACCAGTTGTTCCTTTCCATGTTTAGTGCTTCCTTCAGGAGCTCTTTTAGGGCAGGCCTGGTGGTGACAAAATCTCTCAGCATTTGCTTGTCTATAAAGTATTTTATTTCTCCTTCACTTATGAAGCTTAGTTTGGCTGGATATGAAATTCTGGGTTGAAAATTCTTTTCTTTAAGAATGTTGAATATTGGCCCCCACTCTCTTCTGGCTTGTAGGGTTTCTGCCGAGAGATCCGCTGTTAGTCTGATGGGCTTTCCTTTGAGGGTAACCCGACCTTTCTCTCTGGCTGCCCTTAACATTTTTTCCTTCATTTCAACTTTGGTGAATCTGACAATTATGTGTCTTGGAGTTGCTCTTCTCGAGGAGTATCTTTGTGGCGTTCTCTGTATTTCCTGAATCTGAACGTTGGCCTGCCTTGCTAGATTGGGGAAGTTCTCCTGGATAATATCCTGCAGAGTGTTTTCCAACTTGGTTCCATTCTCCACATCACTTTCAGGTACACCAATCAGACGTAGATTTGGTCTTTTCACATAGTCCCATATTTCTTGGAGGCTTTGCTCATTTCTTTTTATTCTTTTTTCTCTAAACTTCCCTTCTCACTTCATTTCATTCATTTCATCTTCCATTGCTGATACCCTTTCTTCCAGTTGATCGCATCGGCTCCTGAGGCTTCTGCATTCTTCACGTAGTTCTCGAGCCTTGGTTTTCAGCTCCATCAGCTCCTTTAAGCACTTCTCTGTATTGGTTATTCTAGTTATACATTCTTCTAAATTTTTTTCAAAGTTTTCAACTTCTTTGCCTTTGGTTTGAATGTCCTCCCGTAGCTCAGAGTAATTTGATCGTCTGAAGCCTTCTTCTCTCAGCTCGTCAAAATCATTCTCCATCCAGCTTTGTTCTGTTGCTAGTGAGGAACTGCGTTCCTTTGGAGGAGGAGAGGCGCTCTGCGTTTTAGAGTTTCCAGTTTTTCTGTTCTGTTTTTTCCCCATCTTTGTGGTTTTATCTACTTTTGGTCTTTGATGATGGTGATGTACAGATGGGTTTTCGGTGTAGATGTCCTTTCTGGTTGTTAGTTTTCCTTCTAACAGACAGGACCCTCAGCTGCAGGTCTGTTGGAATACCCTGCCGTGTGAGGTGTCAGTGTGCCCCTGCTGGGGGGTGCCTCCCAGTTAGGCTGCTCGGGGGTCAGGGGTCAGGGACCCACTTGAGGAGGCAGTCTGCCCGTTCTCAGATCTCCAGCTGCGTGCTGGGAGAACCACTGCTCTCTTCAAAGCTGTCAGACAGGGACACTTAAGTCTGCAGAGGTTACTGCTGTCTTTTTGTTTGTCTGTGCCCTGCCCCCAGAGGTGGAGCCTACAGAGGCAGGCAGGCCTCCTTGAGCTGTGGTGGGCTCCACCCAGTTCGAGCTTCCCGGCTGCTTTGTTTACCTAAGCAAGCCTGGGCAATGGCGGGCGCCCCTCCCCCAGCCTCGTTGCCGCCTTGCAGTTTGATCTCAGACTGCTGTGCTAGCAATCAGCGAGATTCCGTGGGCGTAGGACCCTCTGAGCCAGGTGTGGGATATAGTCTCGTGGTGCGCCGTTTCTTAAGCCGGTCTGAAAAGCGCAATATTCGGGTGGGAGTGACCCGATTTTCCAGGTACGTCCGTCACCCCTTTCTTTGACTCGGAAAGGGAACTCCCTGACCCCTTGCGCTTCCCAGGTGAGGCAATGCCTCGCCCTGCTTCGGCTTGCGCACGGTGCGCACACACACTGACCTGCGCCCACTGTCTGGCACTCCCTATTGAGATGAACCCGGTACCTCAGATGGAAATGCAGAAATCACCCGTCTTCTGCGTCGCTCACGCTGGGAGCTGTAGACCGGAGCTGTTCCTATTCGGCCATCTTGGCTCCTCCTCCCACATTTTCGTATGTTTTTATACATGGAGCAAGAGAGCAAAGAAAGGAGGAGGGGAGTTCTTTCTTTGCAGCTTTTAGTGATCATTCTGTAAATGGTAGTCCGTGGATTATTTCACATTTTATTGCATTAAATCTACACACTGACCTTGCTTTATTGACAGATATCTTCAGATTATATATGAAGCTTACAAAATTTAATGACTTTGATTAAGGTTACAAAGCTGGTTCACATTGTAACCTTGATCTAATTCCAAAATACATGCTCTCTTTGCTACTACACAATTATGTCAATTTAAAAAGCAAAATAAATTTGCTGCAATGTTGTCATTCTCCATAAAAGATGAACCTCAAACATGTACAGTGGACCTTTCAAGTGCCCATGATCATGAAAAAGAATCGGAGCGGGAAATATGGCATCTTTTGATGATGGTGTTTATTTAAGTAGGAGTGGCACAGCCTTGATTTTAAACATGACTGAGAAAAGATAGAGAAAGCTTCCCTGGAGATGAATGCAGTTGCCAAGAAAAATGCACAATTCAACCTTTCTTCACTCAATAGCAATTGAAGTATGAATGCATTTAAAGCCCTTCTAGTTCTGATTTCATATCTAATGTTATAGCAAGAACGTCAACTTTGATAGGAAGTAAGTTAATTTGCTAACCCCATGGCCTTCAAACAATAATAAAGACCCTTGCACATGTATTTTTTCTGACATATATATGTATATATATGTGTGTGTATATATATATATACACACACACACATACATATACATATATATATATATATATATATATATATATATATAAAATATATATATATATTTTTTTGAGATGAAGTCTCACTCTGTCGCCCAGGCTGGAGTGCAGTGATACAATCTCGGCTCACTGCAATCTCCACCTCCTGGGTTCAAGCAATTCTCTGCCTCAGCCTCCCAAGGAGCTGGGATCACAGGTGCCCACCACCACGCCCAGCTAGATTTTGTATTTTTAGTAGAGATGGGGTTCATCATCTTGGCCAGGCTGGTCTTAAGCTCCTGACCTTGTGATCCACCTGCCTCAGCCTCCCAAAGTGCTGGGATTACAGGCATTAGCCATCATGCCCGGCCTATACATTTATATTTTTACTTGTTTTTTCTCTCTCCATATATAGAGATATATGTGTGTGTGTACATATGTGCACGTACACAACTGTATGTCACTTAAATGACAAGAATACATTCAGAGAAATGGTTAGGTGATTCTGTAGTTGTGCAAACATCATACAGTATAGTTACATACATGTAGATGGTTTAACCTACCACATACCTAGACTATATGGCATATAGTCTGTTGCTCATAGGACACCATCCTGTACAGGATGTTACTGTGCTGAATACTCTAGGCAATTGTAACCATTGGTAAATATTTGTGTATCTAAATATATCTAAAAGATACCATAAACAAGGTATAAAAAATTTAAAATGGTACTCTTCTATAGGGCACTTACTAAGAATAAACCTTGCAGAAATGAAATCTGCTCTAGATGAGTCAGAAAGTGTGTGGAGTGAATGTCAAGGCCTAGCATGTAACTGCAGTTCATAAATACTCTAAACTTAGGTCACACTAAATTTATGTTTAAAAAATTCTTTTGTCAATAATAAATTAGCCTTAGTTTACTGTAACTTTTTAATCTTACCAACTTTTTAATTTTTTTAACTTTTTGACTCTTTTATAATAACACAGCCTAAAACACACATTGTTCAGTTGCACAAATATATTTTATTTTTCATATTCTTATTCTGTAAGCATTTTTTATTTTAAATTTTTTTTTTAGTTTTTTACCTTTAAAAACTTTTTTGTTAGAATTTTTTTTAATTTTATTATTATTATACTTTAAGTTTTAGCATACATGTGCACGACGTGCAGGTTTGTTACATATGTATACATGTGCCGTGTTGGTGTGCTGCACCCATTAACTCGTCATTTAGCATTAGGTGTATCTCGTAATGCTATCCCTCCCCCTCCCCCCACCCCACAACAGTCCCTAGTGTGTGATTTTCCTCTTCCTGTGTCCATGTGTTCTCATTGTTCAATTCCCACCTATGAGTGAGAACATGCAGTGTTTTGTTTTTTGTCCTTGCGATAGTTTGCTGAGAGTGATGGTTTCCAGCTTCATCCATGTCCCTACAAAGGACATGAGCTCATCGTTTTTTATGGCTGCATAGTATTCCATGGTGTATATGTTCCACATTTTCTTAATCCAGTCTATCTATCAACCTAGGCTTACACAGAATCAGGATCATCAATATCACTGCCTTCCACCTCCACATCTTGTTCCACTACAAAGTCTTCAGGGGCAATAACAAGCATGGAGCTGTCATCTTCTATTACAACAATGCCTTCTCAAATGCCTCCTGAAGGACCTTATTGAAGCTGTTTTATATTAAGGTTTTTTTTTTCTTTTTCTTTTTTTTTTTTTTTTTTTTGAGACAGGGTCTCACTTTGTCACCCAGTTTGTTGCTGAGGCTGGAGTGCAGTGGTGTGATCTCAGCTTCCCGCCACCTCGACCTGTTGGGCTCAATTGATCCTCCAGCCTCAGCCTCCCAAGTAGCTGGGACAACAGGTGCACACCACTATGCCTGGCTAATTTTTTGTTGTTGTTGTAGAGGCGGAGTTTCACCATATTTCCCAGGCTGGTCTTGAACTGGGCTTAAGCAATCTGCCTGCCTTGGCCTCCCAAACTGCTGGGATTACAAGCTTATAGTTAACTTTTAAGAATATATAAGTAGAAAGAAAGAGCACACTAAAATAACAACTAAAAGTGTAATATAGTGAATAGTAGGCAATAGGAATTTTTCAGCTACACTATAATCTTATGGGAGCATCATTGTATAGGAAGTCCATCAGTGACCAAAATGTCATTATATGGTACATGACTATGTAATCTATGTACGTATAACTATTATATAATAATTTATAGTATTACATATATAGTACACACAGGCACACATTACATATATAAAGATTATTCTGTTTCAGGTAACATTAGGCAATTCTAAATAGTTTAAGTATAAATGGGAATTTCTGGAATTATACTGGACTGTCTCATGGGATCAAAGAAAGTAGTGAATCAATAAACATCAAGCTGGAAATCAACTAGAATTTATGTAACCCAAAGACTTTGATATCAGGGGTTTATTAAACTTCTCTCCAGATTGTTGACATAAATATGGCTTAACTCACAATTTGATCAGCACATCTTAGATTGGTGTCCATTGGACAAGCCAAAACTGCCTGATGGTGCAAAGTTATATAATGTAGACATATAATAAAGACATGGAGATGAAAGAGATTCATCATTGTTTTGAGGGGGTAATAAACAGAGAAGAGGGAACAGTTGTTAGCCTGGATAATGCATTTTTCTATGATAATTTTGATGAAAACTTCCTCCAAACTTTATTTTTGGTTTCAAATAGTTCAAAAAATCAGGTCTGGTTAAGCATTCAGTACAGATATTGACTTAATTAAAATCTTGATTTTATGTAGTTGGGTCCTCTAGGTTTAGGAATTATTATAATAACAACATATTATATTTTTTAAAAAACAAAATGATGCATTCAGCATGACTGAGCCTCTACTCTATAGTAAGAACTTACCATGTTATATTTCCCAAATATAGCCATAACAGTATATATCCCACCCTACCTATTCCTCTTACAATGAGGGGTTGTCACTCCTGAATTGACAAGTTTGATCTATCCTCCTTTCCATTGAACCTGGGTAGTATAGAATACAAACAACAGAATTGGTGGAAGTGATAATGCATGCCAATCAAGGATAGGTCATAAAAGGCAACACAGTTTCTGCCTGGCACGCTCTCTCCCCCGGGAATGCTTGTTCTGAGGGAAGCAAGCCACCATGTTGTAAGAGACCACCTAGAGAAACCGAGGCCCTGGCTGACAACCAACATCAAATGCTAGACATACGAGTAAACAAGCATGTAGTAGGCCCCACCCTCCAGGCCTCCAGACACTCAGGGAAGGCGGCAGCCTTCCTTTGTTGAACCCTGGAGAAAGTGCAGATTCATGAAACATTTAAATGTTGTTGTTTTAAGCCTGTAAGTTTTGCACTGGTTTGTGATGCAGCATTAGCTAATTGGTACCAATATTGGTATCTGGATATTGAAAGACATGAAATTGTGGTAGTAGGTTTGTGACTAAGTAGCAGGTAGTAGTTGAAAGGATGTAGAGGAAATCTAATGGCCCTTTTGGAATCTATCAGTTATGGTGTAAAGAAAAGTGAAAAAATGTTCTTGGAAACTGAGGGAAATTAAGTGATTTCAGGGAGTTTAGCAAATGTGCCATGTGTCATAATGTGGCAAATAGAAAATGTCTCATGAACTGGGGGTCTAGCTGCAAAGACTTCCAGGCAAAGTGTTGAAGTTGTTACCTGGTTATATTTTTACTTGCTTATAATAAAATGTAAGAAGAGAGATTCAAGCTAAAGAAATAACTGTTAAATAAAAAAGAGTCAGTACTTAATGGGTTTGAAAATAAAACTGTTTCTCATTTCCATCTTCCTCGTTCCAAAATTAAGAAAGGGTTCTAGAGCAAAGATAAAATCCAGAGGAGACTATAAGATGCATTATTAAGACTTCAGAAAAATCTAAGGTAGTTTCTCAGAGAGTCATTTAGTCAGACCAATAGTATGCCTTCTGGATCTTTTTTATTCAACAAAAGGCCCTGAAAAGGTCATGCCCCACAGCTGATTTAGATAGAAAGTCTCAAGTACAGAAAATATTTTCTTGAATAGATTCATAAATTTGGATCTTTGTCAATTAGAATGGATTATAAACTAATTCATAAAAACCCCTCAAAGTTAAAAAGAATTACATCAGTTTAAACAAACAGATAAAGACAATACAAAATTAAAATAGGTCTTGGTATCTCCAAATTACTACTATGAGAAAGCATTCTGAGAAAACTGCACAGCTACAAATACCAGCCATTTCGAATGGAAAAATAGGATGACTCACGGAGTAAGGCTAAGAGGTAAATGGGTGGAAATGAGAACCATAGTGAACCATTGCAGGCATTAGACTGAGTTCTTACCCAGTAACCAGCATCATTTTCTAGCTGAATTTCAGAAGTACTATGGAGCAGTAACTAATGAATGTGTCCCATTTTCTCTTCTTTGAACAGGAAGGTCCATAGCAGTTAACCAATGCCTGTTACCATTGTATGCTGGGCTTGCAAGGGGCATATAACTTGCCTTTTTAGTTCGCAAGTCGTCAGATGTAAAGAAACTGTATTTGAAGAGCTATCCTTGAGGATTTTCACCTAAGGAGACTTCATGGCAGCTGGGCATGATTTGAATGCTAAGAACCTGGATTTTGAAGTGATGCATCTTTGAGATGAGACTCAAGGTTTTGGGGGAGACAAATGAGTATTTTTTTTTTTATATGAAGAGGTAGGATTATCGTGGTCAGAGAATGGATTGTGGTAGATAGTATTTTCCAAAGATAGAAGCATCAACATTTATTTGATTCCACACGTTCTTCTTACAGTGTGACATTGAAACTCTTTCATCAAGAGATGAGCTTATGTGCCATTTACTGGAAGCAGGGGTACTTTCATAACCACTTTGCTTAATAGAATTAATAATGACAATGTGACTATTTCCCAGGCTAGGTCACAAACGGCAATGACTTCTACCTACTTTCTCCCTTCTCTCTCTCTCTTTCTCTCTCCTTCCCTCCCTTTCTCTCTCTTTCTGTTTCTCTTTTTCTCTCTGGAACACTCATTCTTTGGTCAAAGTTAGATACTATGCTAGGTGGAAGTTCAAACTAGCCTATGTGGAGAAATCACATTGAGATGCCATGTGGAGAGAAAATTAAGAGCTGCAGCCTTCCCCAACTACCAACTACTACTTCACCAACTATATGAATAAACAGACTTTCAGATGTTCAGAGTCCTCAGATGTAGAGTCACTTCAGGGTGCCTATGAGAGCCAGCTTTTCTCAAACCCTACTCAAATTTTAGATTTATGAGTAAGTAAATGTTATTGTTTTAAGACAATATATTTTGGGGGTATTAATTACGAAGCATTAGGCAACTGAAACAAAAACTGTATATGTTGGAATGTTTATATTACAAATTTTGAAATTAATATGCCCACATTTTATCACCTTCTGACTAAAAACTGGGGTCACGTGAATATTCATGATAAAACACCATGGCTCTAGTTCCCCACCTGTGCAAGCAGAAACTCATTCTTCATAAAATTGCTATCTTGTTCTTTTGTGCTCTACTACTGAAAAAGAAGACACACACACACACACACACACACACACACACACCAGTTCTTCCCTATCTAGACAATTCAAATCACTTTCATTTAAAACATCACCTTTTTTTTTAACTCTAGGAAATGTCCCCAGAGATGCATTTCTACCTATCTATAGTTAGACATAAAAAGATAATTTTTTCTCTGTTCTCAGGTCCCAGCCTCATTGTCAATAAGGAATTGTTATTAAGTCATAATTAGAGTCACTAATGCAAAATTTTGTTGCATGTGGATTTATTTTCTTTGATGTAAAGAAGATCTTTTGGGCCCTCTGTTGGTGCTGTACTTTTCATTGAACTGCTAGTCTTTACTTCAAGTCTTTATTCATCAGCTCTTAATCTTTGCTCAGCCTTCAGCCTCTTTTATTCTCTTTCCATCCCTCCTTCCCTTCTTCCTTCCTTCCTTCCTTTTCTTCCTTCCTTCTCTCTTTCTCTCTTTTCTTCTTTCTTTTCATGCCTGCAATGCTTGGTTTCCCTGAAGCTTGCACTGCAACCTGCTGTCTTCCTGCTCTTCTTGATAATGGCTAGATGAAATTGCAGATATCTCTCTCTTCAAAGAGAGAGCGCCATCTCTGAATTGTCTCTGGCATCATCAGCATTCTGCTGAAGCTTTGGCAATGGAAGCAGTGCTTTACATTACTGGGAAGAGACTGATAGGAAAACAGATTCCTATTGTGCAAAGCACTGATGCTTTTTGCATTCCACCGTTGTACCACTTTCCAGAAGCTACAGCTTAAGGGCATCATTGGGTAATTGTTTTATACCCAATGTCATGGTAGGTTTCATGTGCAAATATCTTTGTTATAACCCTAGTGTTCATTCCTTCTTGCATCTGTTTTCTCAGTTAAAATTATTGTATATCAATATTCCTACATGGTTTTTGAAAATATAATTATAATAGTTGCATATAGCATTCAACTTAGTGGATCAACCGTAACTTAGTCAGCCATTCCATTATGAAAACAGTACATTGCTTCCTATCTTTCACCACTTGAATTCCGCATATGTGAGAAGCTATTTAATATAATAGTTTTTTCTCTTATAATGGACAACTTATTTAATCCTGTCAAGAACTAAAAAACTATGCTTCCAAACACATATTGCCATTTTTATTCCCTGAAGTGGTCTGTTCTCATTTTCATTGCCACCTTCATTATACAAGAGAAAACATTTTCCTTATTCTTGCTGGGATCAGGTGTTTATCCTATTTATTATATTTTGCCAATTTCATAAATAAAAAAAGACTGGTTGCCCTAGTGTACATTTTTTGATTATTGGCAAAGATAAACTTTTTTTCATAGCTTACTTGTAATGTTTATTTGTTACTATTTCTCTTATGAATTGTCTGGTTTTGCTCATTTACCTTCACCAAAAGTCGTAGAACTAAGTCCTCTGCAAAGCTCATGTTTGATGCCAGGATTTCCAGACTCTGAGCAAGCTGTATCGTTGCATTTCTCATCTATAATGGCATAAAGACATGGGATTTTAGTAACATAATAGTCTAAGAAGTAAAATTAGAAAACAGTCGACAGTCAATAAATAATTCCTGATAATATCGTTATTTTGTTATTATTACGTAAGGAACTTCATTGTTCATAAGAACATTAGGTAGCAACAATGACAGTAATCATCCTTAATTGATTCCTTATGTTTACAAGAAGACCCTTGTTTTGCTGCTAAGTATCATTTTGAACATTGATTCTAAGAAGATATCATCCCCTATTAGAAAGAGTTTTGTAATTTAACAAGGCTTTTTGATTTCTATTGAGATGAATTTCATTTTGCTTTTTTTTTTTGACTTGACCGATTGATTTGGTGTTTTATTATAAAAAAATTTCCTCTTTTGTTGTTTAAAAAATCAACCTTGTTTGGTCAAGGTAGAAATGTTTTAGTAAGCCATGGCATGGTGGGTCACACCTGCCATCCTAGCACTTTGGGAGGCCGAGTTGGAAGGGATACTTGAGCCTAGGAGTTTGAGATGAGCCTGGGCAGCACAGAGAGACTACATCTCTACAACAAAATTAACAAACTAACTGGGCATGGTGGTGTGTACTTCTAGTCCCAGGTTCTAGGGAGGCTGAGGTGGGAGCATCACTCGAGCCTAGGAGATCCAGGGTGCAGTGAGCTACAATCAGGCCACTGCACTCCAGCCTGAGTGACACAGTGAAATGCTGCTTCAGAAAAAAAAAAAAAAGAAAAGAAAGAAAAAGAAATGAGAAAAAATTGAGGGTTTCCAAATCAAATTCATTGATGTATAATTTTCTCTTTGCATTTTTCTGGCATATTTTGATATTGGAGTCATATTTTTCTTACAAATTAAATTGGTTTGTTTATTTGATCTGGGTTTTAGATTATCTGTTGTGTGAAAATTTTCCACTGCTGAATATTTCTAAGAACTAGTCTTTATGATCCACAAGTCTTGAGCGAACTTGGGTCATTCTTTAACAAATTTGTAAACTACTTCTCTTGTTTTCTAGCTACTGATTTTTCTACTTCATTTTGTAATAATTTTGGTAACTTGAATTTTAATATTTTATAAAAATTATCTGACATATAAAAATTTCAGATTAATATATGCCATCTGTTGTATTATAAATTAAACATTTCTTCTAAAATTACTATTGCATTTCCTTCTTTCTCACTTTATTTGCAGTTATTTCATTCTTTTTCAGATTTACTTTGTTGAATATTTACTTTTCAAAATACAGAGTATTGTAGTTTTATAATT
This sequence comes from Homo sapiens, assembly GCF_000001405.40. Taxonomy (NCBI): domain Eukaryota; kingdom Metazoa; phylum Chordata; class Mammalia; order Primates; family Hominidae; genus Homo; species Homo sapiens. The sequence goes on along the minus strand of NC_000010.11, from coordinate 85,346,453 downwards.
TATTTTGCACTATTTACCATCATTATTTTTTTAATTCATAGTTTTCACTTTCTTTTAAAGAAACTTCCAGTACATTATATTACTATTATTTAATTACTATTAAAATTTTGAGTCTGTAGAGTTACCTCTTTATGCATCTTTGCTATTAAATTTAACTCAATTAAGTGCTTTTATAAATGTCATTGATTTAAACATTATTTGTTGACTGCCGATTCTGTGCTAGGCAAATACTTGTCATCCATGATATAATTATAAATATGATATTGCTATTACTACTTGAAGCTTACATGCAGAAAAATAAATGTTGGTAAATAAAGATTGATGAGTAATGGTGATAAGCACTATAATAATAACCATGCGGTCCTATTGAAATACAGAAAAGAAAGTTTATATGAGAAGCACCATATAATATATGAATATTTAATATTGCTTTTACTTTTTTTTTTCATCTTGTGTCATCTTTAAGACACTACCCAAAAGACAGAGTCTTGCTTTATCCCTAAGGCTGGAGTACAATGGCGTGATCTCGGCTCACTGCAACCTCCACCTCCAGGGTTCAAGCAATTCTCCTGCCTCAACCTCCCGAGTAGCTGGGATTACAGGCACCTGCCACCACACCCAGCTAATTTTTGTAGTTTTAGTAGAGACGAGGTTTTGCCATGTTGGCCAGGCTGGTCTTGAACTCCTGGCCTCAGATGATGTGCCGGCTTCAACCTCCCAAAGTGCTGGGATTATAGACGTGAACCACTGTGCCTGGCCGACTTTACTCTTTTGTGTGTTCTCCCTTTCACTATTCTCTCTCACTCCCCATTTGATAGGATACTGATGGGATGTATCCAATTATTGACTGTTTTCTTTCTTTCTTCCCTACTTTTCTTCTTTCCTTCATTCCTTCCTTATATTGTAATTTGTCTGTCTAATCTGTTAGTCTGTGCAGCTGCAGACAAAGAAATCTCCTCTCATACTTGGACTGGTTACCAAGTGCTGTATGTCAGCCTAAAATATTTATAAAGCGACTTCCACAATTAATAGGAATTACATGAGAAAACAATTTGGACATCTCTGTAAAGAATTGTCTCTTCTCCTGGTATTTTCAGAGACTTTAATATGCTTTGAAATCTCCAAGAAAGAAGTAGAGGATGAAGCATTTTTTATACTAAGTATGGACTCCTTTGATCTGGTAGCTTCATGAAAGAACAATGTTTCTTGCTACAGATTTTGGGAAGAGCTTATTTATATTACCATGAATTATGGGGTTTGGGATCCTGCTAGACCCAGAAAAGGTTCATAGAAAGACCACTGAATTTGTCTACATGTATTAGGAAATGTTAATTGTAGGATAAATCACAAGTAAAACAAAAAGCATACACACAAATAATAAAATATACAATACAGTATGTGTGTATATATATATATGCACTATTTAAACCATAAATCACGTAGTGCCTTGCAGTACTATAAAACAAAATTGTTTTAGTGAGACTTGTTTCTCATGTGTCACACGTGTGTGATGGATTACATAGAGAATGGCTATTAGAAGATTTAAGAGAAAACAAGTTTCTCTGTTTTCTGAGACAGGAAAATGGCATAAAAAATGTAACAAATGATTCCAAGACTGACTTTTTATTTTTAAATCGATGAGACTTATGATTCACATTTACAGGAACCAAACTATATTCAGCAGGGGGAAAAGGTATAGCAAATTAAAACTACCATAACTTGGTTGTCACTGAAGAGGAACTCAAGGTGAGGAGAGAATTTCTATACTTTTAAGGCATCGACACCACTAGTATTAGCTAAAGTTTGATGATAATTCAAAATGTGATGATGAAACAAGCCATTAATCCAAGGGATCTTCATTTCCAGGATAAAATATTATTAGAGTGTATTATTTTTTCTTTATTTTGAAATAATTTCAGACTTACAGATATCGTGCAAAAATCATTTCTGCAAACCCTACACCAAGCTTTCCCTAACTTTAACATCTCACATAACCATGGTGCAACCATCAAAACTAAGAAATTAACAATACTAACACCTAAACTACAGACTTTCTTCAGATATCCTCAGTTTTTCCACTAATGTTCTTTTGTTGATGTTGTTCCAGGATTGTACATTGCGTTTAATTGTCATATATCTTTGTATAATTTATATTAATTCCTGTTATTCCTTGTCCTGGTGACCTTGACACTTAAAATGTGCTGGCCAGGTATTTGTAAAACATTTACCAATTCATGTTTGTCTGGTGTTTTGTTGTGATTAGACTGAGGTTATACATCTTGGGAAGAACACCCAGGAGGTGACGGCCTTTCATACTGCATCATTATTAAGCGCACACAATATCAATGTGACTCGTGATGTTAACCTCTATCACATGGTTAAGGTCACATCTGCCAGGTTTCTCTCTTGTAAAAGCACTGTTTCCTTTACACCTTTCCTTACTCTATTTATTAGATGACTCACTAAGTCTAACTCATACCTAAGGGGTGAGGAATTAAACTCCACCTACTGGAAGGAGAAGTATCAACCATAGTAATTAATAAAAATTAAAACTACAATAGTAATTAATAAAGATTAAAACCACCGGGCCGGGCGCGGTGGCTCACTCCTGTAATCCCAGCACTTTGGGAGGCCGAGGCGAGCGGATCACGAAGCCAGGAGATCAAAACCATCCTGGTTAACACGGTGAAACCCCGTCTCTACTAAAAATACAAAAAAATTAGCTGGGCGTGGGGTGGGCGCCTGTAGTCCCAGCTACTCGGGAGGCTGAGGCTGGAGAATGGCGTGAACCCGGGAGGCGGAGCTTGCAGTGAGCCGAGATCGTGCCACTGCACTCCAGCCTGGGCGACAGAGAGAGACTCCGTCTCAAAAAAAACAAAACAAAACAAAACAAAACAAAAACAAAAACAAAAACAAAAACAAACAAACACCGTAGTAATTAGTAAAGACATTGGGTGAGATTCCTTGAAGTTATGCAAACATCCTGTGTCTCTTTAATATTTTATCTACTAAATTTAGCATTTCTCAGTGGATCTTGGGTGCCGCAATTATTATTGTGTTCTAGTGATAATTTTCCATTTCTCCCATTCTTCCATGATTATTAAAATTTTTCTGTAAGGAAGAGTTGGCATTTCTACTTCATTTATTGTTTTATTCAATTAAGTACTTGTTATTAGTATGGGCTTATGGATATTTATTTAATTCTTTGGGTTATTACCCAAAACTACCATTTTTTAATTTTGTTGCTCAAATGGTTCCAACCTGGGTCGCTGGGAGCTCTTGTGGATTGCCCTCTGTGACCTGAAGCCATGAAGTAGACTGCTGAGAAAAATCCAGGAAAGAAAAGTACTTCTGACATAATAAATAAAATTTGATCGTGGGTTCCTTTGATCTGGGACCTTCATGAGAGAAGAGTGTTCCCTGCAACAGATTTCGGGAAGTGCTTTTTCATGCTATCCGGAATATATGGGGTTTGGGAAACTGCCAGACTCAGAAATATCAGACTCATGCTGATATTTTTCTGTTTTTAAAAGCATTTCTTACATGCTGGCATCAAAAGATGCACTAGTCTTATCTTTTATTCCTCCTGTCCCAGCCTTGGAATCACCCATTTCTCCAAGGAGCCCAGAATGGTGTTTAGAAACAAAAAGTAAACTCTCTCTCTCCCTCTCCAGAAACATATAAAATGTATACAGATGTATAAATAAACACATATGTATATATATACACATATGTATATATATACACATATGTATGCATATGTATGTATATATACATACTTATTTCTGTATCTATGTATCTGTAGATACATTTTTAAAATAGGAATTTATATTCATATACCCAACTTCAATCCAGCACCATGGGCTCATTCTAACACTTCTCCATTGCTTATTTGCAACGTCTTTCTATGGAAGTGAGAAATTTGGCTTTTATTGTCTAAATATATTTTATTTTGTCAAAACCTAGTGTATATGTAAAGTAGTTTTTGAATGTCTTACCAATTAAAATACAGTGTTTATATACAGTTCTTTTTGCCTTTAGCCTCATGATATATGGCTGAAATCACTGTCTTCTGAAGATAATTATGCCAGTTTCTCTTTCCCACTTCCTGTAGTGCAGTTGTGTTATACATTTGCATCACAGTTAGATTCATTTGTCAAAAGCCTACATTACATCTATTACATCTTGGGTTAAGAACTACTGACTTCTGCCTTCTTGTATTATCAATTGAGAGAAAAGTGTTGAAACCTCCAACTCTAATCACAGATGTATTTATTTCTCATTTCAGTTCCACCAGTTTTTCCTTATGTAGTTGGAACCTTGGTTAGGGGCATATACTTTTAGTATTAATACATCTTCTTAGAGAATTTAAGTCTTTTATCATTGATTCATGTTTACTTTTGTTCCTAATAATATTTGTCTTGAAGTCTACTTTGTTTGCTTATGTGAAATCGTTTTTATTTCTTCTTCCTTTTAGCAATTTATAATTTTTAGTTACCATACAATACAATAGACCTTCTTGATATATACTTCAATGTAGGAATTTATGCATTCACCAACACAATAAGGAAAAAATAATTTTTCTCTCAAACAGAACTTTGTTCCTTTGTGGACACACCCTTAACCCCACTTCTAATTCCTGATACCTGCTGATTCATTCTCTGTCATTAGAACTCTATCTTTTTGGGAATGCCATATAAATACAATTATATAATATGCATCCTTTTGTGACTTACTTAGCTCACTCAGTATAATACCTCTGAGGTTAATACAAGTTGAATGTATCAATAGTTTGTTTCTTTTTATCAAATAGCATTTTTCCTGAATGGATGTATCATTTCTTTTTAATCCATTGAAGAACAATTGTATTCTTTTAAATTTTTGGAAATTGTGAATAAAGCTGCTAAAATACTTATAATCTGATTTTTTATGAACATAAATTTTTGTTTATCTAGAGTACACATTCTTAATGAGAAAATTATTATCTTCAAGGTGGCAAAAATTGGTTTTAAGGTTCAAAACTATCCTATTCCTTTCATGCATAAAGCACAGATATATCTAGAGTATATAAACAATTGCAGATAATCCCTGTAGTATTAAAATTTCATGGGGAGATAATTAACAAAAATGTTTAAACAGGTTTTCTACTATTGTGGTGATGAAAAACATGTTTAAAAATACTGCTCTAGAGTTTTCACTTAGAAGTGAGGTTGTCTAACCTTACTTTAAGCGTGTGTTTTTCTGTTAAAGAAAAAAAACTGTCAAACTGTTTTCCAGAGAGGCTGAAACATTTTGGATTTCCACCAGCAATGTATAAGAGTTCCAGTTGTTCCACATTCTTGTTAGTACTTGATATTGCCAGTACCTTTTTAAAGCCATTTTTATAGGTGTGTATTGGCACCTTATTGATGTTTTATTATACATTTACCTAATGGGTAATATCTGTGAGCATGTTTTTTACTTGTTATTCTTATAGTCTTTTGTGCATTTTTCAAAACAGACTATTTTCACAGCAGTTTTAGGTTTATAGAAAAATCTATCTGAAAGTACAGAGTTCCCATGTACTTTCTCTACCCTTCACTCTCAATTTTGTCATTCTTAACATTTTGCATTAGTGCAGCTTGCATGTTTTACAATTGGTGAACCAATATTGATACATTTTAATTAACTAAAGCCCATAGTTTACATTAGGGCTCACTCTCCTCCTCCTCTTCTTTTTTTTTTTTTTTTTTTTGTGGCAGGGTCTTTCTCTGTCACCCAGGGTTGGGGAGCAGTGGTGTGATCTTGACTCACTGCAACCCCTGCCTCCTAGGTTCAAGCAATTTTCATGCTGCAACCTCCTGAGGAGCTGGGCGTACAAGCACGTGCTACCACACCTAGCTAATTTTTGTATTTTTGGTAGAGACAGGGTTTTACCATTTTGGCCAGGCTGGTCTCTAACTCCTGACCTCAAGTGATCTGCCCACCTCAACCTCCCAAAGTGCTGGGATTGCAGGAGTAAGCCATCGTGCCAGGCTAGGTTTCACTCTTTGTACAATTCCATGAGTTTTAAAAAATGCAAAATATTTTGTATCTGTCATTTCAGCATCCTTCAGAATAATTCCACTGACCTAAAAATGCCCTGTGCAGCACCTATTTATCCACCCTTTACTCATCTCCTACCCTAAACCCATGGCAACCACTGACCCATTTACTGTGTCCATAGCTGTTCTTTTTAAGGAATGCAATATAGTTGATATTATACAGTTCATAAACATTTTAACCTGGCTTCTTTCAGTTATAAATATACATTTAAGCTTTCTCCATGTTTCTTTACCACTTGATAGCTCATTTCTCTTTATTGCTGAATAGTATTCCACTGTATGGAGGTACCACAGTTTGTTTATACATTGATCTATTGAAATACATCTTGATTGCTTCCAAGTTTTGGAAATTATGAATGAAAGTGCTATAAACTTTTGTGTGCAGGCTTTCGTGTGAACACAGATTTTTAACTTATTTGGGTAAACATCTAGGATCACAATTGTGGAATCCTGTGGTAGTCCTATGTTTAGCTTTGTAAGAAATTTCCAAACTGTCTTCTAAAGTGGCTGTACCATTTTGCATTCCCACCAGCAATGAGTGAGAGTTTCTATTGCTCCATATCCTCAAAGCATTTGGCATTGTCAGTGTTTTGGGTTTCTGCCATTCTAACAGGTGTGTAGTTGTATCTCGTTTTCATAAAATTTTGAATTAGATTGATTGACTCCTCATTGCTGAGTTTTGAGAGTTTCAAACATTTTCCTTATACAAAATCCTTTTCTCAATCTGCTTTTGAAACATTTTCACTTTAGGTAGAATTGAGGAGAAGCAGAGTTTCATTTCAGATTCTGAACATGTTTCTCTGTTGTCTTCTTGCCTGCAAGATTTTGAACAAGTCTACTGAAATCTTATTCTGTTCCTCTCTAGGTAGTGTCTTTTTTCTCTAGTACCTTCAGGATTTTCCTCTTGTCTTTGGTTTTCTCAGTATAAATAAGATGTGAATAGACATTCTTGTTATTTGGGTGTTTTTTAATCTTGGTGATTTCTGAGTTTCTGGGATCTCTATTTTGATGTCTGTAGTCAATTTGGAGCATTCTTAGCCATTATTTCTTAGATATTCTTGTTCATCTCTTTTTCTTACACTTGAATACAAGTAACTTGTATGGTAAAAAAATTTCATATTGTCTCACAGGTCTTGGATGTTCTGTTTCATTCTGATTTTGTTTCTCACTCTTCTCTTTCTTTTTATATTGAATTGTGGGTAATTACTATGGCTCTATATTCAAGTTCACTGATTCTTCTTATAGCTGTGTTGTGTTATTAGCTTGTTGAATGCATCATTCATATTTCCTGTTATGTTTGTAATTCCTGCACTTCCACTTAATTATTTCTTATGACTTGCATCTCTTTGTTGAAATTACTTATCTAATCTTGATCCATTAGAACCTTTGACATATTAATCAGTTTTTGTTAGCTCCACTTGATAATTTCAACATTTAACATATGATTTCTATCCTGATGATTGCTTTGTCTTTTGGTGATCTGTTTTTCTTGCTTTTTCATATGCTGTGATTTTGTTGCTGTTGTCGTTGTTAAAAAGTTGGACATATTGTGAAGGAAAGTAGATACCCAGGAAAGTTTTTTGTTTGTTTGTTTGTTTGTTTGTTTATTTTGAGATGGAGCTTCACTCATGTTGCCCAGGCTATAGGCAAAGGCATGATCTCAGCTCATTGCAACCTCCACCTCCTGGGTTGAAGCGATTCTCCTGCCTCAGCCTCCCGAGTAGCTAAGATTACAGGCATGCACCACCATACCTGGCTAATTTTGTGTTTTTAGTAGAGACAGAGTTTCTCCATGTTGGTCAGTCTGGTCTCGAACTCCTGACCTTAGATGATCCACTCGCCTTGGCCTCCCAAAGTGCTGGGATTACAGGCATAAGCCACCACGCCTGGACTCAGGAAAGTATTTTATATGCTTCAAGATGAGCACAAATTCTTTCTGGCAGATATTATAGTACAGGTGTGTGTTAACCTAGCCAGGAGTTGTTCTGGCTTCAAAGTTAGTCACTGCTATGGTTATCCTCAGTGCAAAATGGACTTCAAATTCCTCTAGTGATACATGAGTTGAGGTTGTGAACTGGTCTGACAGAGGCTATTGTTTCAATGTCTGCTTCCTCCTTGACTCTGGATCTTCTCTTTACTCTGTGTCCTGGAAGGGATTTATCTCTTGTAGCTTTCCAGTTAGTATTTTACTGTTACTTGACTCCATGATTGTTAGCCTTTTGGTGGATGGCAGGCAAAAGGACTGTTCCCTGATGTTCTGGTCAAACCTCAATCTTAGGTAGACATTGTATCCCTCCTTTCCTAGTGTCCAGCCTTCACAGTGATTCTGCACCTCCTCCAGACTTTGTACTGTGCCTAGAACATATTCCTGCCTCTCCAACTGGGTTAAAATCTATTTCTGCTCACTTCACCAACTGCAATGGATGTCCATCAGTGCCTCTTGACAGTGGTTTGTGATTACTTCCCCATGCAGATTAAGGTTTTATCTCTATATGTAATAGAGGAGGTGCATGTTATTTTTGATGAAAAGCCTAGAACAACTTAAATAAACAACTGAATTTAAAAATTCATATTTGCAGTTTATCAACAAACTGATCACAGGGGAAGAGAGAATTTGTGACCGAAACATAGATCAGAAGAAAATATTTATTCTAAAGAATGAAGACGTAAAAGAAATGAAAATACAAACAGAATAAAAGACACATAAAATATAGTGAAAAGATGTAACATATGTGTAATTGGACTCCCAGGAGGAGAGGAAAGAGATAAAGTGTGGGAGAGCAATAGTTTAATAAATAATGACTTAGAATTTTCCACAAACTAGTAAGCGATATATAGCCCCAGATGCAAGAAACTGAAAAACACACAGGAGAAACATTTTGAAGACCATATCTAGGCACATAATAGTAAAACTTCAATTCAAAGACAAAGAGAAATATCTTAAAAGCAGCCTGGAGAGGATGTTGCAGAGATGTATTAATTTAAAAGAGCAACAATAGGCTCTTTGAAGGCTAACAGATGATGTCTCAACATGAAATGAAATGTAAAATAGAAGATAATGGAATTATGTATGCAAATTACTGAAAGAAAATAAAAATCTGTCAATTCAGAATTTTATGCCAAATATAAATCACTCTCAGATGTTGCTATGGTTTGAATGCATGTGTTCTCACCAAAGTCATATGTTAAGACCTAAGACCCGGTGTGATTAAGAGAGGTGGCCCTTGGTGATTAAATCATGAGGGCTCTGCCTTCCTGAGTGGAATAAGTCCCCTTATAAAAGAGCTCTAGAGAACTAGCTGGGCCCAATTTTTGCCCTTCTTCCCTCCCTCTGTGAGGATACAGTGTTCTTCCCTTCTGCGATGTTAAGACACAGCAACAAGGCACCATCTTGGAAGCAGAGTCAACCCTAACCAGATACTAAGTCTGCTGGTGCCTTCATCTCTTGGGCTTCCCAGCCTCTTGAAATGTGAGAAATAAATATCTATTCTTTTTCAATTGCCTAGTGTCAGGTATTTTGTTATAGCAGCACAATTGAACAAAGACAGAAATTGGAACTGAAAAGTGTGGTGTTGCTGTAACAAACACAAGAAACTGTAAGCATCTTGGAACTGGGTAATGAGCAGAGGCTGGAAGAGTTTTGAAGTGTGTGCTAGAAAAAGCCTAGATTGCTGTGAATGGAGCATGTAAGGTGATTCTGGTGAAAGCTTGGAAGAAGAGAGCTGTAGAAAGAGCCTAAATCTTCTCGGAGATTATCTAAGTGGTTGTGATCAGAATGCTGGTAGGAATATCTATAGTAAAGGCCATTTTTTCTTCAATTTATTTATTTATTTTATTTTTATTTTTAATTTGTGTGTCTACATAGTAGATATGCATATTTATGGGGTACATGAGATGTTTTGATACAAGCATGCAATATGAAATAATCATATCATGGAGAATGGGGTATCTACTCACTCAAGCGTTTATCCTCTGTATCACCAACAGTCCACACTCTTTTAGTTATTTTGAAATGTACAATTATTATTGACTATAATCACTCTATTTCGCTATCAAATAGTAGGTCTTATTCATTCTTTCTATTGTTTTTTGTAATCATTAGCCATCCTCACCTCCCCCACAGCCCCCCAGTATCCTTCCCAGCCTCTGGTAACCATCCTTCTACTCTCGTTCATGAGTTCCATTGTTTTGATTTTTTAGGTCCCACAAATAAGTGAGAACATGTGATGTTTATCTTTCTGTGCCTGGTTTATTTCACTTAACATAATGATCTCCGGTTCATCCATGTTGTTGCAAATGACAGGATCTCACTCATTTTTATGGCTGAATTGTCCTCCAGCGTGTATATGTACCACATTTTCTTTATCCGTTCATATGTTGATAGACACTTAGGTTGCTTCCAAATCTTAGCTATTATGAACAGTGCTATAACAAACATGGGAATGCAGATATCTCTTTGATATAATGATTTCCCTTCGTTTGAGTGTATACCCAGCCCTGGAATTGCTAGATTACATGGTAGCTCAATTTTTAGTTTTTTTAAGGAACCTGCAAACTATTCTCCATAGTGGTTTTACTAATTTACATTCCCACCAACTGTGTACAAAGGTTTCTTTTTCTCCACATCCTCACGAGAATTTGTTGTTTCCTGTCTTTTGAATATAAGCCATTTTAACTGAGTTGAGATGATCTCTCACTATAGTTTTGATTTGCATTTCTCTGATAATCAGTGATGTTAAGCACCTTTACATATGCCTGTTTGCTGTTGTTATGTCTTCTTTTGTGAAATGTCTACTCAAATATTTCACCACTTTTTTGGATCAGGTTACTAGATTTTTTTCTACAGAGTTATTTGAGCTCCCTTTTATATTCTGGTTCTTAATCCTTTGTCAGATGGGTAGTTTGCAAATATTTTCTTCTATTCTGTTGGTTGTCTGTTTACTTTGTTGATTGTTTCCTTTGTTTGCTGTGCAGAAGATTTTTAACTTGATGTAGTCCCAGTTGTTCATTTTGCTTTGGTTGCCTACGTTTGTGGGGTATTGCTCAAGGAAATTTTGCCCAGGCCAACATTCTGGAGAGTTTCCCCAATATTTTCTTGTAATAGTTTCATAGTTTGAGGTCTTAGATTTAAGTCTTTAATCCATTTAGATTTGAATTTTGTATATGGCAAGAGATAAGGGTGTAGTTTTATTCTTCTGCATGTGGATATCCAGTTTTCCCAGCACCTTTTATTGAAGAGAGTGTCTTTTCTCTAGTGTATGTTTTTGACACCTTGTTAAAAATGAGTTCACTGCAGGTGTGTGGATTTGTTTCTGGGTTCTCTATTCTGTTCCATTGGTCTGTGTGTTTGTTTTATGCCAGTACCTTGCTGTTTTTGTTATTATAGCTCTGTAGTATAACTTGAAGTCTGGTAATGTAATTGCTCCAGTTTTGTTCTTTTTGCTTAGGATAGCTTTGGCTATTCTGGGTGTTTTGTGGTTCCATATAAATTTTAGGATTATTTTTTTAATTTCTGTGAAGAATGCATTGATATTTTTAAAGGGATTTCATTTAATCTGAAAGGTGCTTTGGGTAAAGACCATTCTGATGAGGTATTAGATAAAAATGAGGACTATATTATTGGAAATGAAGGAAACGTCACCCTTGTTAAAAAGTGTCAAAGAAATGGATGAATTGTGTCCATGCTCTAGTACTCAGTGGAAGGCAGGGAAGGCAGAACTTTAGAGTGATGGGCTGGAATATGTGGCCAAATAAATCTCTGAGCAATGTGTTGAGGGTGCTCCATGGCTTTTCTTGATTGCTTATAGTAAAATATAAGAAGAGAGACAATAATTAAATATGGAGTTTATAATTACAAACTTAATTTTAAATATAACCTAAAGATTTGAAAAATTCTGAGCCTGGTAAGAATATTAAGGCAAAAAAGGTGTGTTCAGGAGATAATATCAAAGAGTATGGACAAGTGAATGATGATGAGATTAACATGCATATAAGGAAGCCAAATGCTGTTCTTTAGACAATGGGAACATGACCTGGTAAGCATTCCAGAGATCTTTGAGATTGTCACACCAATCACAGGCCCAGAGTACCAGGCCCCTGAGGACAGAACAATTAAAAAGGAGGGACCCAGGGCACCTGTGGGATCTTGGGGCTCATTGCTTAGCACCATTTCAAGTCTCTGCTCTCCGCATTTTGGCTGCCCCAGATGTTGCTGAAATGGATCCAATGGTATCTTGGGCCGGTGCTCTGGAAGCACAAGTGGCAAATCTTGGCAGCATGTGTGTGGTGCCAAGTCTGCTGGTGTGCAGAGTGCATGAGCTATGAAGGCATGGCTACTTCCACTTAGGTTTCAAAGAATGCCTCAGAGAGCCTCAAGGCCCAGCAGAGAACTGCCACAGAGACAGAGCTGCCACAGACTGTCCCCAGTAGGGCAATGCCTAGTGGAGCCCATAGGAGCAGAGCCCATGCAGAGAGTCCCTTCTAGGGCAATGCCAAGCAGAGTCATGCACCAGGGCCACTGTGACGAGCCCTCATTAGGGCAAGGCTTAGTGGAGCTATGGAGGCACGGCTGCCTCCAAGACGTCAGCCCTTTAGAGCCACCAGCTGCACAGCCTGGGAGAATTGCAGCCACCAACTCCAACCTTGAGAGCTAGTGTGTAGGTGGTCCAGGGCCTTAAGCCCAGTTCCCACCCAGTGTGTCTAGAAGGTGAGATCTACAGTCAAAGGAAATTATTCTGGAGTCTTAAGATTCAATATTTGCTCTGTTAACTTTTGGATTGGGTTGGAACCTATTACCCTTTCCTGCTTTCCTATTTCTCCCTTTTGGAATGGAAATGTCTATCCTATGCCTATCGTCACCACTGCATTTTGGAATCACATAATTTGTTTGATTTCACAGGCTTACAGCTTGAAAGGATTTGCCTCGGAATGAATTGTACCTTGAGTCTCATCCATATCAGATTTAGATGACATTTGGATGAGACTTTGGACTTCGACTCTTAAGTTGTTGCTGAAACAAGTTAAGAGTTTGGGGGCTGTTGGAATGGAGTGATGTATTTTGTATGTGAGAAGGGCATGAGTTTTGGGGGGCCAGGGTTATAATGCTATGATTGGAAAATATGTGGCACCTCAAAATTCATATGTTGGAACTTAAGACCCAATGTGATAGTATTAAAAGGTAGAGCCTTTAGGGGGTGATTGAATCGTGAAGGACCCACATTTACACATGGGATTTGTGGTACTCTTATAAAACAGCTCTGGAGAAATAGCTAGACCTTTTTTTTTTACCCATTTTCCATCGATCTTGTGAGAACACCATGTTCACCTCTTCTGCCATGAGAGGACACAGCAACAAGGCACTATCCTGGAAGCAAAGAGTGAGACTTCACCAGATGCTGAACCTAGTCTCAGGTATTTTGTTATTTTGTTACAGCAGGACATGTGTGCTAAAACAGAAATGAAGCAAAAATATAGATATTTCAAACATATACACACATTCACACACACACACACACACACACACACACACTTGAGAGACTATCACCAGCAGGTCCGCACTAAATCAAATGTTAAAGTGCATATTTCAGGTGGAAAAAAAAGGTAATCCCAGGTAGAAGCTCAAGAGAGCAGAAAGAAGTAAAAAGCAATGGAAAGGGTAAAAATGCAGAAACATGTAAATGAATCCTAAGTGTATAAAAACAATAATAATGTATCATGGTGGTTAAAATATAAACGTTCAAATAATTAAAAATATGTATGTTCGAGGGTAATTAAATATAGGTATGGTATTCTAGTGTCCTTGCCTTGGCTAATAAATGATAGAAGTACTGATTTACATTGGACTTTAATTAGTCAAAGATTCATGAAGGATTTTCTAGGATAACAAGCTAATAACAACTTAATGAGGGGAATGATAAGTAATAACAATAATTCCTCAGAAAAGGAAGAAGGCAGAGGGAAAAAAAAGATAGGAGGATGGGACAAATAGAGAGCAATTAAGAACAGGGTAGATTAAAATACAAAAATTGACATTTAGTGTAAGAAAACTAAATAATCCAATTAAATGGCATGCATTCTTGGGCTTATTTGAAAAAAACATACAAACATTAAATATAAGAGACAGATGGATGCACAAAGCTTGCAAATGAAAAGGTGTAAAAAGTTATAGCATGCAAACACTCAAAATAGAGGCAGGGTAGTAATATTAATATAAAAGTAGACTGTAAGCTGAAAATCATAGATAAATAAGCACATGCAATAACTATGAAAGTTTCAACTCTCCAGAAAATTACACAAAGTTTAAACTTTTATGCATCTAATAATATACTCTCTCTATCAATCAAGTAAAATGAGTGGCTTAAGACAACAGAAATGCATTCTCTGACAGTTCTGGAGGCTGTAAGTCTAAAATTAAGGGGTCAGCAGGGCCATACCCCCTCTGGGACTCTGGGTAGAATTCTCCTTTGCTTCTTCTTAGCTGCCTGTGTGGCTATAAACACTTAGCATTCCTTGATTTTCAACCACATCACTCTAATCTCTACCTCTGTTGTTATACAGCATTTTCCTCCCTGAACCTCTGTTTTCTCTTCTTATAACGACAGTCATATTGGATTTGGGACCACCCTAATCTGGTATGACTTTATCTTAACTTGATGACATTCACAAAGACCCTATCCAAATAAAGTCAGGACATTCACAGGTTAGAACTTAAACATATTCTTTTAGAAAACACAATTCAACTCACAATAGCCTCAAAGTATGTAAAGCAAATACTGACAAAACTAAAACAAGAAAAAATTTAAATGAAGACATAATAAATGTGAAAGATAAGATACCACCATACTACTGATAATAATATAAAGACAAAAAAATCAAGAATCTGGTTAAAATGATTAAAATAATGCATCTCACAATTATAAAATATACATTTCTTTTTAAAAGTACATAGAACATTTACTATAATTGACCAATTACTGGATAAATGCAATTCTCATCGGATTCTAAATGATTGAAAATTTTAAAGCTCTTATTAGAAAAAAGGTTTAGATTCTATAATTGATTGGAATGACATTGGAACCAATAATTTCAAATATGCAGTAGAAAAGAGAATACAAATACAAAAAAGAGGAGGCATTATAAAATATTTTATTAACTGGATAAGAATTATGGTAGAAGTCAATAGCAAAAAATAGCTGGAATATCCTATACATTTGAAAATTAAGTAGTGCATTTCTAACGAATCCATGGTAGAGGAAGGCATGAAGATGGAAATTGGGAAACAAAAAATAATGAATTGAACCATAATACAAATTGTATGTATTTAAATTTGATACTAGAGTAGAGCTATGATTAAAGGGAAATTTATAAACTTAAACATGTGTTTAAAGGGAAATGTATAACCTTAAACATGTGGAATATAGGTACAGTTTATATTTCAGGAAGTTCAAAAGAAAGCATCAAATTAAAGCCAAAGAAGGTAGAAAGAAGAGAACAGTAAGGACTAAACACACTGGAGTCTAAAATAAACCCATTACACAGATAATAAACAAAGGCAAATGTTAATTGAAATGACTAAAATAATTGATAAACTTCTAAAGGGAATAACAAGAAAAATAAATGAATGACATAAACTTCAAAATGAAATGAGATGAAAACTCTGATTATAGAATCAATAGATACTTTAAAAAGATTAGAAGATTATAAGGGGGCACTATGAACAATTTTCTGTACATGATTTTGAAAGTTTTAGTGAAATAAATTCCTAGAGAATACAATTGAACCCAACCTGACACAAAGAGGCACAAATAATCTAAATAACCTATACCTACTAAAGAAATTAAAAATTTCCACAGAACACAACTTTAAGCTGATATGCTTTCACCAGTGAAACCAACCAAATTCTTATGAAAGAAAGGACACAGACCTTAAACAAACTTTCCAGTTAATGGAATAAGAAGGAATACTTCCCAACTGATTTTATCAGATCAACATAACTTAATATCAAAATCTGACAGAGTTTGCAAAGAAAGACAATCCCTTTGAGGAACATACATGCAAAAATTCCAAATCCAGTTACATAAAAGGCAACTAAGCTTTCTAACTAAGCTGTCTTTTTTACTCAGAAATTGACATTTGAAAATCAGTCATGCAATTTACCACATTAATAGAATAAAAGAGAGAAATTATGTAATCATCTCAGTTGATAAAATAAAAAGATTGGTTAAGGTAAGGAAAATATTTAATTTGTAAATTATAAAACATGCATGTGTGCACATGCACACACACACACACATATTATATCCCTTAATTCTTGATTTCACATGTGAATTTTCAAAGTTCTAATACAAAGAAGGTTTAGATTCTAAGAGTCCTTGGATGACTTTGGAAACAATAATTCAAAAATGCAGTATGAAAGGGAAACCACTCGCCAGAACAAACTAGATGTTGGGGATATGTTTAAGCTTTTGGATAAAATGCTACTTCTGATAGGATAAAAAAGAAAATTCCAAGCAAGTCTATGCCTGTTTCTTCAGATGGAGCCTGGCTAGGAAAGTAATCAAATACAGAACAGAGATTAAACCACCAAAGCTGAGGACCCTCACAGAGTCCATTGCATCCTCTGCCACCTCCATCAGAAAAGGTGCTGTTATCTATGGCTGAGAGACCCATAGATGGTTCATATCACAGGACTCTGTGCAGACAACTCCCTGTACCACCCCAGAGATGGGTAGACTAGCTGGGTGGCTAGTCTACAACAATCACTGCAGCTTGGCTCACAGAAGGCCACATCCACAGGAAAAGGGGGAGAGTACTACATCAAGGGGACACCCTGCAGGACAAAAGAATCTGAACAGCAGCCTTCATCCTTGGACCTTCCCTCTGATAGAGCCTACCCACATGAGAAGGAACCAGAAAAACAACCCTGGTAATATGGCAAAATAAGGCTCTTCAACACCCCGCAAAAACTCTCACTAGTTCACCAGCAATGGATCCAAACCAAGAAGGAATCCTGATTTACCTGAAAAAGAATTCAGAAAGTTAGTTATTAAGCTAATCAGGGAGGGACCAGAGAAAGGCAAAGCCCAATGCAAAGAAATCCAAAAAAATTATGCAAGAAGTGAAAGAAGAAATTCATGGAAATAGATAGCTTAAAGAGAAAACAATTAAAAATTCAGGAAACTTTTGACACACTTTTAGAAATGTGAAGTCCTAGAAATTCTCAGCAATAGAATTGAACAAGTAGAAGAAAGAATTCAGAGTTCAAAGACAAGGTCTTCAAATTAACCCGATCCAACAAAAACAAAGAAAAAAGAATAAGAAAATATGAACAAAGCCTCCAAGAAGTCTGGGATTATGTTAAACCACCAAACTTGAGGAAGAAGAGAATTCTAAAAGCCTGGAAAACATATTTAGGGGAATGATTGAGGAAAACGTTCCCAGCCTTGTGAGAGACCTAGACCGTCAAATACAAGAAGCACAAAGAACACCTGGGAAAGTCACTGCAAAAAGATCTTTGCCTAGGTACATTTTCATCAGGTTATACAAAATTAAGACAAAGGAAAGAATCTTAAGAGATGTGAGGCAGAAGCACCAGGTAACCTATAGAGGAAAACCTATCAGATTAACAGCAGATTTCTCAGCAGAAACCCTGGAAACTGGAGGGGATTTGGGAACTATCTTCAGCCTCCTCAAACAAAACAATTATCAGCCAAGAATTTTGTATCTAGTGAAGCTAAGCATCTTATATGAAGGAAAGATACAGTCGTTTTCAGACAAACAAATGCTGAGAGAATTCGCCATTACCAAACCACCACTGCAAGAACTGCTAAAAGGAGCCCTAAATCTTGAAACAAATCCTAGAAACACATCAAAACAGAACCTCCTTAAAGCATTAACCACACAGAACCTATAAAACAAAAATACAAATTAAAAAGCAAAAAAAAAAAAAAAAAAGAAACAAATTAAAAAAACCCAAAGTACACAGACAGCAAAGAGCATGATGAATGCAATGGTACTTCATACTTCAATACTAACATTGAATGTAAATGGCCTAAAAACTTCACTTAAAAGATACAGAACTGCAGAATGGATAAGAACTCACCAACTAACTACCTGCTGCCTTCAGAAGACTCACCTAACACATAAGGACTCACATAAACTTAAAGTGATGAAAAAAGGCATTTCATGCAAATGAACACCAAAAGTGAGCAGGGGTAGCTATTTTTATATCAGACAAAACAAACTTTAAGGCAACAGTGACTAAAAGAGACAAAGAGGGACAGTATATAATGGTAAAAGGCCTTGTCCAACAGGAAAATATCATAATTCTAAACATATATGCAGCTAACACTGGAGCTCCCAAATTTATAAAACA
Source organism: Homo sapiens (assembly GCF_000001405.40). Lineage (NCBI taxonomy): Eukaryota > Metazoa > Chordata > Mammalia > Primates > Hominidae > Homo > Homo sapiens. The sequence continues at coordinate 85,327,997 of NC_000010.11, read as the reverse complement.
ATTACTAATAGACCTAAGAAATGAGATAGACAGCAACACGATAATAGTGGGGGACTTCAGTACTCCACTGACAGCACTAGATAGGTCATCAAGACAGAAAGTCAAAAAAGAAACAATAGATTTAAACTATGTCTTGGAACAAATGAACTTAACAGATATATACAGAACATTTCATCCAATAACAACAGAATACACATTCTATTAAACAGCACATGGAACTTTCTTCAAGATAGACCATATAATAGGCCATAAAATGACCCTCAATAAATTTAAGGAAATTGAAATTATATCAAGCATTCTCTAAGACCACAGTGGAATAAAACTGGGAATCAACTCCAGAAGGAACCTTCAAAACCATGCAAATGCATGGAAATTAAATAACCTTCTCCTAAATGAGCATTGGGTCAAAAGAGAAATCAAGATGGAAATTAAAAAATTATTCGACTGAATGACCATAATGACACAACCTATCAAAACCTCTGGGATTCAGCAAAGGCGGTGCTAAAGGAAAGTTCATAGCCTTAAATGCCTACATCTAAAAGTCTGACAGAGCACAGACAATCTAAGTTCACACCTCAAGGAACTAGAGAAACAAGAACAAACCAAACCCAAACCCAGCAGAAGAAATGAAATAACCACGATCAGAGCAGAACTAAATGAAATTGAAACAAACAAACAAACAAAAATACAAAAGATAAATAAAACAAAAAGCTGGTTGTTTGAAAAGATAAATAAAATTGATAGAAAATTAGCAAGATTAACGAAGAAAAGAAGAGAGAAAATCCAAATAACCTAAGAAAGAAAACAGGAGCTATTACAACTGACATCACTGAAATACAAAAGATCATTCAATGCGACTATGAACACCTTTACACATATTAACCAGAAAACCTAGAAGAGATGTATAAATTCCTGGAAAAATACGACCTTCCTAGCTTAAATCAGGAAGAATTAGATACCATGAACAGACCAATAACAAGCAGCGAGACTGAAATGGTAATTGCAAAATTATCAACAAAAAAAAAAATTCCAGGACTAGACAGATTCACAGCAGAATTCTACCAGACATTCAAAGAAGAATTGGTACCAATCCTTTTGACACAATTCCACAAGACAGAGAAAGAAGGAAGCCTCCCTAATTCATTCTATGAAGCCAGCATCACCTTTAATCCCAAAACCAGGAAAGGATGTAACCAAAAACGAAAACTACAGAGCAATATCCTTGATGAACATAGATGCTAAAATCCTTAACAAAATAGTAGTTTACTGAATCCAACAACATATTAAAAAAGATAATCCACCATGATCAAGCGAGTTTCATATCAGGGATGCAGAGATTGTTTAACATACACAAGTCAATAAATGTGAGACACCACATAAACAGAATTAAAAACAAAAGTCACATGATTATCTCAATAGTGCAGAAAAAACTTTTGACAAAATCCAGAATCCCTTTATGATTAAATCTCTCAGCAAAATCAGCATACAAGGGACACATACCTTAATGTAATAAAAGCCATCTATGACAAACCCACAGCCAACATAATACTGAATGCGGAAAAGTTGAAAGCATTACCTCTGAGAACTGGAACAAGGCAAGGATGCCCACTCTCACCACTCCTCTCCAATGTAGTACTAGAAATCCCAGCCAGAGCAATCAGACAAAAGAAAGAAATAAACGGCATCCAAATCAGTAAAGAGGAAGTCAAACTGTCACTGTTTGCTGACGATATGATTGTTTACCTTGAAAACCCTAAGGACTCCTAGGAGCTTTCTAGAGGTGATAAAAGAATTCAGCAATGTTTCCGGATACAAGATTAATGTACACAAATCAGTACCTCTTCTATACACCAACGGCAACCAAGCAGAGAATCAAATCAAAAACTCAACCCCTTTTACAGTAGCTGCCAAAAAAAATAATAAAATACTTAGGAATATACCTAACAAAGAAGTTGAAAGACCTCTACAAGGAAACTTCAAAACACTGCTGAAAGAAATCATAGACAACATAAACAAGTGGAAACACATCCCATGCTCACGGATGGGTAGAATCAATATTGTGAAAATGATCATAGTGCCAAAAGCAATCTACAAATTCAACACAATCCCCATCAGAATATCACCATCATTCTCACAGAATTAGAAAAAACAATTCTAAAATTCATATGGAACCAAAAAAGAGCCCACCTAGCCACAACAATACCAAGCAAAAATAACAAATCTGGAGGCATCACACTACCAGATTTCAAACTATACTATAAGGCCATAGACACCAAAACAGCATGGTACTCATATAAATATTGGCACATAGACCAATAGAACATAATAGAGAACCCAGAAATAAATCCAAATACTTACACCCAACTGATCTTCGACAAAGCAAACAAAAACATAAAGTGGGGAAAGGACACCCTTTTCAACAAATGGTGCTGGGATAATTGGCTAGCCACATGTAGGAGAATGGAATGGGATCCTCATCTCTCACCTTACACAAAAATCAGCTCAAGATAGTTTAAGGACTTAAACCTAAGACCTGAAACTATAAAAATTCTAGAAGATAACATTGGAAAAACCCTTCTAGACATTGGCTTAGGCAAGGATTTCATGACCAAGAACCCAAAAGCAAATGCAATAAAAACAAAGATAAATAGCTAGGACCTAATTAAACTAAAGAGCCTTTGCACAGCAAAAGGAACAGTCAGCAGAGTAGACAGACAACCCACAGATTGGGAGAAAATCTTCACAATCTATACATCTGACAAAGGACTAATATGCAGAATGTACAATGAACTCAAACAAATCTGTAAGAAAAAAACAATCCCATCAAAAAGTGGGCTAAGGACATGGATAGATAATTCTCAAAAGAAGATATACAAATGGCCAACAAACCTATTAAAAAATGCTCAACATCACTAATTATCAGGAAAGTGCAAATCAAAACCACAATGCAGTGCCACCTTACTCCTGCAAGAATGGCCATAATCGAAAAATAAAAAAACAGTAGATGTTGGTGTGGATGTGGTGAGCAGGGAACACTTCTACACTGCTGGTGGAACGGTAAACTAGTACAGCCACTATGGAAAAGAGTGTGGAGATTCCTTAAAGAACTAAAAGTAGAACTACCATTTGATCCAGCAATCCCACTACTGGGTATCCACCCAGAGGAAAAGAAGTCATTATTTGAAAAGGATGCTTCCATACGCATGTTTATAGCAGCTGAATTCACAATTGCAAAATCGTGGAACCAACCCAAATGCTCATCAATCAACGGCTGGATAAACTGTGGTATATATATACAATGGGATACTAAGCAGCCATAAAAAGGAATTAGTTAACAGCATTTTCAGTGGCCTGGATGAGATTGGAGACTATTATTCTAAGTTAAGTAACTCAGGAATGGAAAACCAAACATCGTATGTTCTCACTGATATGTGGGAGCTAAGCTATGAGGACACAAAGGTGTGAGACTGATACAATGGACTTTAGGGACTTGTGGGGATGAGTGGGGGGGGATGGCGAGGGACAACAGACTACAAATATGATGCAGTATATACTGCTAGGGTAATGGGTGCACCAAAATCTCACAAATCACCACTAAAGAACTTACTTATGTAACCAAATACCACTTGTACCCCAATAACTTATGGAAAAATAAAATAAAATACAAAACAGAGAAATGGCTACAGGTGTGTCTGTACTAATAGCCCTGAAGGAGTCTCAGAGCCCTAGCACAGAATCTTTCAGTGAAGGAGAGCATCCCTGTGCACCAGGAGTAATATGGTTGTAATAAAGGGCTGGATTTCCCAAGGCTGAGGTGGTACAGTTCCAGCTGTAAAAGGCAGCTGAGAGAGAGCTACAGAGCAAGGAGCCTGAAAGCTGGAAACCAGGAGTGCAATACCTGTGTGGACTGAGCCAGAAACCAAACACAAGCCATTGCGTCTGAGCACACGCAACAGGTTAGACAGCCACTTGAGCACATGCTTCCCACTGCACCCTAAAACCATGACACATGCAAGACTCTGGAAGCCCAGACAGAACTCTGAGTGAGAGACAAGATAGCCCAGATTTGAATATTATGTTTTCAATGCCAAGCTTCTCATATGTCATGTCTAGTTAGAGAAAAAAAAATTAAAGATACACACGGGCACACACCTAAAAGAGACTTCTGGGGCCAAAGAGCTAGGTATAGTAATGGGCCTGAGTTTGAGACCAACCTGGAATCACTGTAGAACTGCAATCTGCAATCTTAATTAGAGACAAGATCCTTGTCAAGTGACAGTCAAGGGTGAGGAATAGAGACACAGATTAGGCACAGAGAAGGGTTACAGTGTGAGGTCTTCGAAGTTAGATCCCAGTGCTAGCAGTACCATGTAATATGAACTGTGAGAACTAGCCCACTCTTATCTGTGGGAAAGATGCACAGGGTTTGTTTCCTTTGACTTTTCAAATATGTTTTCCATTAGTCTGACAAATAAGAATGGTCCAGAGGTCTGTTAAGCCCTGAGATCACCCCACAAAGAGCTCTTTATACTGGAGTTCAAGTGCCATATCCCCATCACTAGCCTTCAGAAATGCTTGCCCCTCATCCCAGCACTGGCAAGGGTCTCCCACCAACCCTGGATCTCATCAGGTTTCATTTTAGGGATGTACCAAGTTGTTAAAAGTTGATCCCAGAAAATGATATTCATCAGAAGAAATGAGGTCACTCACTGGCTTAGAGCCTCTGCTTTTAAATAGCTGGGAGATTGAGCAATGCCAATTGATGTCTTCTAATCTAATCTACAAATTGGGCACATGGTCCCCAAACTACTGATATTGGGATAGCCCACTGGGACATCAAATGTAGCTTAGCTCCTCTTTGTATGTCATTAATTATCATAATATGGAAGTCAGTTTTTGTCATCCTAAAATAGAAACAGCCCATATGTTGAGAGATTTAAACATAGAATAAAGTTTGCATGTCTCGCTCCCCCTTCCCACCAAATCCATCCCCTCTGGGCTGGATTTTTTGTTTGCTCTGAACTCGGAAATAGAACATTTGTGGCTCTGAGACTCCTCTTGTTTCCTTCTTTTGTGGGAACAGTGTAACATTCACTTCTATTTTGGACAGAAGCCTTATGTTTTGAAAGTTTTGGGGAGAGAAAGGCCTGCGGCCCTTCGTCAATACAGCATATGTCAGTGCAAAGCAGTTAATTTTCTGAAAAAGAGAATGTGCTTGTCTTTAACTTTTTAAGATGCTATAGCTAAGGACAGAGAGTGTTGCTGGGAATCTCAGGGAAGCTGGTTCTGTGCATGAGTAAGCAAGCAGTGCTGAAAGAACCCAGGTTGAGGTTCTTTACTGGGGATCTGAGTGTGGAGTGGGAATTGGCACTTTCTAGAGGATGCTCTTCAGCATGTTTACTGGAGAAGGCAGGCTCCAAAGCTGAGGGGCTCCTGAGTCAAAGAGGATGGAACGTTGCAAACTCAAGGATGGGGAGAGGGCATCCAGCACCAAAAAATGTGCCACTTGTTTTGCAGGCCCACATTACTAAAAATTAATTTGGCATGAAATTATGAGAATGAACATCTTAACTCTTTGGGGCCAGTTTCTCTTATTATTCTTGGGCAGTATATGCCATGGAAAGAGCAAGAGCTTCAGAATCAGACTGGAATTACCAGCTGTGGGGACTTTGGGCATGGCACCTCTCACATGTGAGCTTTATTTTTTTCTTCTGTGTAATGGAAATAGTAACTATCAATAAAAATTTGCTGTACAGATTACATATTGGAAACATAGTACACGCTTGGAAAGTAGAAAGCGCAGATTGAATGTTTTTAGTGTATAGTGTCTGCTTTTATTATGAAAATAAGATAGTCATCCTCTAAGAAAAACCTAGACCACCCAACTCTGAATATCATTCCTTATTGCCATTTTTCATCAATCTAAATAGCATAATGATTATCTTCTCTTTAATTGTTTTTATTAATCAACTGATCAGGAAATATGATCTATCATTTGTTGCAGTAACATGTGGTGAGCTGACTGAATGCAGCAGTGTAATATGGAAATTTCACAAGCTAGACTTAAATATAGGCTTCATTTCAGGACACACATACACACATGTGTAGCTATGAAACTTGACACATTTATTTAGGCTTTAATTCAACTTCTCTCATTTTGAAGATGAGGAAACTAAGACAACAGGAGTTGAAACACAGAGTTCAGAGGTCCTCAGATTTGAAAATGACCTAAAGAGAAGCAGTTATTTGATTGCAGATTGCATTTCTCCTACTGCATCTCTGATAAGCCTATTTATTTCCTATGTTTATTCATCTCTAGAAAGCTGACCACCACAGAAGCCATCCACTGTCTGTAAGAACACAGAAGGTCTGGTAATTTCCTTTCAGCATTGAAAGCAAGCTGAGCTTCCTGAAGCATTCACTGTGGTTTCATCTCCAGGTTCCATGAAGAAAAGGTCTGATCCTTCTCCCACATTCTGGTGCCTCAATGACTTCTTGACAGTAACATTCCTTGCTGGGACTTTTCTTTGTCAAAGCCTTACCCTATTGTCTTCTTTGCCTGGAACTGATGCTCTGACCTGATCCACTGTGTAACAAACAGAAATAGGCATTGGAGATTTAGCATCGAGTTGGACCTAAGAGCTCAGATTTCTGATTTGTGAAATAGGAATAAGGGTCCCCACCTCACAGGCGTGTTGTGAGAAGATGTAGCAAACTCATGTATTTCTTTGCCTCCTTCCCATTCTGAATCCACATGATTTAACCAGAAATGTATTTTTAACTGAACTATGGGGGGATGATTGGTGGAGATCCAGGAGTTTGGCCTTTTTCCATGGTTAAGGATAAAGCCCAATATTAAGAAAGGAGAAAGAGAGATCCATTGCAGTGCATTCATCTGTTCTTCCCCCCAAACTATTGCATAATTACATTGCCTGAAAGCTATGTAATTAGAAGTTATAATCCTTATCCCGTTATAGTTGATTTGAACTTTAACAAATTTTAAATTTAAGCAATATGCATATGGTCTATTATGTTTATAAAAATAAGAAAAAAAAAGCAGAATACAACCACAGTTTAAGTAGAGATGATTGTTTTAAATGCTTGCCTCTTCCCCAACCCCAGCCAGAGGTGAAGCTGATGTCTCATAGTTGTAGATTCCCTTGATTGCTTGCTTATGCGTTTCCCTTTCCCTGAAAGTCACCAAAAATAAACTTTTAGCAAATAATTTGAATATTTTAATTTTTAAAACAAACTTCATTAAGCATTTACCAAGTACCAAACACAATGATTGTGTTGGATTACTTTTTCTTTCTTAAGTAATTCTAATATATCCCACTGTCTGATAACCATAGGGCATTAGAAGCTACTGGAAAGCATGCGGTAGGGAGACAGGACACAATTCCCTTCCCCTTGATCTGTAGCTTGAGTCCTGGTCTGGGTCGAAGACTCCTGCCCTCTCTGGTATGGTCCAGGGTGGGGGATGAGGAAGATGTGGGAAGGGGGGTGGGCCCAAGGACATGTCCCTCAGGGATGGAAAACAGACAGCTGCCATTCAGGAGGATGGAGCATCAAACCCCATTCTACCCCAAGCCAGAAACTGTGTTCCTTTAAAGCATCTGAGCTCAGGTGCAGGATTTCTCAGTAAGACCACAGGGTATGGAGGCAACGACTTGGCTTATACCTGGTGAGTGTGGGAGTCACAGACCTTATCAGAACTTCTGAGTGGACATGAGTGATGCCAGGAGCTGAATCCCACCACAGGATAAAGGAAGGTAGGGCTGGGCAACATAACATCAAACCAGGAACAGAGCAGAAAGCCCATGAACAGGCTGCAGACACCTTATGTGGCTGGCCTGATAACCGTTCCTGCTCTCGCTTAGCGCCCTGGGGCTCTGCTGTCTCAGGGACACCTCAGGCCATTGCTGGAGGAGGAGTTCTGGCAACACAGTGGGGTGAGTGATCACAGCCTCTGGCACTGGATGGTAGACTTCTCTCTGCAGCTGGCAGAGCCCTGGCAGGCAGATTCTTCCCAAGCATGCAAGTGGAGGCCAGGGAACTGAGACCCAGGAAACAGTTTCTGCTTAGTGATGAAAGGAGTTTTTGCACCTCACCCTGCTCCACTCTCCTCCAACCAATGGTCCTTTTCCTGCTCAGATAAGATGCTCACACTAGGGTGCCAAAGATTAATTATTTAGTGTCAGTGGAGGGTGGTATTTTTGATGATAAAGAGTTTCACGTAACTGCTAAGTATTATTATAATTAGAGAGCTAAGCAGATACATTTATCCTGCATCTAGTAATTAGGCAGGGAAGTAAATTAATTTTTCCCTATCCATGCTCATTTTCTTGTTGGTTATTTTTATATCAAGCACAAGGAGACAGCTTTATCTGTTTCATTATGGATTATATATGCTGTGCTCCTCTGTCCAACCAATTTAGATAAAAGTGGATCTGCCCTAGAGAAACTTCATTTGGGAGAGTGTGGTAGGAGGAGGAGATAAGGCCTTCTTGTCTAAGTGACTTATAAATAGCGGGCAAATAAATAGAAAGTCCCAGCTGCTGTTGGGAAAAAAAAAAAAAGAGTGCGCGTGTGTGTGTGTGTTTCTTCTATTACTGTATAATTAGCATGAGTCACTGTCCTCTTTGCTGGGAGTGCATGATGCAAAGAAGGAGGAGGTGTAAAGGAAGACAATTGGTGGACATTCAGCCGGGAGGAAGAGAGCCAGGCCTGGGTCTGAGGAAGGTGCTGGTCTTCACTGAGTTTCCAAGATACAGGAAGCTCAGAACAAATGGTGCACAAACAGCTCTCTAGTCCTTGTGGGGTGAGCCAGGAGAAAAGAAGCATCACTGTTGAATGTGTTCCATACAGGAGACATTGTGGATGCATGTACATGATGTGTAATGCTGCATTTCATTTCCTCTTTGAGGCCCCATTCCCCTGGAGGTTTAAGTGCTGCCGATCTATGATCTTCCCATCATTTTTCTCTGATGCACGTACCTCTGGGGGACAGAGAGCTCATTTACTCCTTGATGACGCCCATGCAGACAAGCTCTGAGATAACTTCATATCCTAGGTGGCTTGCAATCAATCACATTCCCAGAGAAAGGCAAAGCCTCTCCAAGCCTGGCTCTGTCTGAGCAAAATCGACCTTACACTGGGTTGTTACTAGAGTGAGGTGTTACTCCTGCACTACTGGGAAATCATTCTACTGCTCTACACCTTCCTGCCTGTCTGCCACTATATGCCCCCACTCCACAGACACACAGACACTTAGCCTGGCTCTGGGAACCAGCAGGAACTCCAGTGGACTGTCTTAGCCTGCTGCCTAGACAAACCCCCACCCATTTCTGGTCTACTGCTGCTTTGCTAGGTTGGAGAACTGAGCCTCTCCAAGACAGGTCTCAGACTAAGCTGGGATGAAAGAGGCACCTATTGCACAAAATTGAAGGAGGTGCTCATTCTCAGGTGGTTATCTTTCACTTGTGTGTCCCTGAGTGCAAGGGCCTCCTTAAATCATGTGCTCGGGGGTGTCTGACTCACCTTAACCCAGGTGCCACTGGGCCCTAGGACTTCCCAGGCTTTACTCGTCAAAGGAGTTATGGTAGCATAGGTAATGGCCCCCAGAGATGTCCGAGCCTTAATCCCCATTCAGCCTGTGAATACATTACCATATATAGCACAAGGAGTTTTAAGTTATGGATCTTGAGATAAGGAGATTGTCCTGGATTACCCAGATGGGCTCTAAATGTAATCGCAAGTGTCCTTACAGTTGTAGAAGGAGGAAGAGAAGCATTTGACTACAGTGTCCTTATACTTGTAGAAGGAGGCAGAGAAGCATTTGACTACAGGGACAGAAGAGAAAAGGCATTGTCATGACCTTTGCAGAGGGAGCAACATTTGAAGACTTTGTGGCTTTGAAGATGGAAGAGAGCCACCCACCCCGGGGTGTGGACAGCCTCTAGTGGCCAACAAAGGCATGGATATTATTCTCCCCTAGAGCCTCTGGAGAGAGTGTGGCCCTGCTGACACTGTGATTTCGACCCACTGAAACCCTTTCTGGGCACCAAACTCTAAGAGGGCAAATATGGTTTCTCAGAAGCCACCAACTGTGTGGTAACTTATTGCAGCAGCAATAGGAAGTAAATGAATATAGGAACCCAGCATCCCTCTTCCCTTGACTTCCCCAGAGCCAACTGAGGTGACTGTGATCATGCCAAGAATAGGTTAGAAGGTCACAGGCAACCCAGCCACACACAGCAGAGTCTAATTATTGGCTTCCTCTAGGACTCTGACTTTCAAACCTTTAGCCAAAGATTTGACTTCAGCCCATTGAAATCAGGTCTATAGCCAGAGATTTGGCACTTGCAACTCCAAAGCTCACGATTGACACAGGTGGTGAAGGTGGAATTCTTAGAGAAGGGGGCAGGAAGAGGGAGTCTTAGTAAATATCATGACATGCTTTATCTTCACAAGGGCAGGAAGACATTTTATACACTAAGATATTTGCCTAATCAGGGCAACCCAGTTCACTCTCAATGTGCAAATAAGCAGGCAGAAAGGGTTAATTTATTGATCCTGGTCTTATAGTTGATAAATAGCATAACAGAGACTCTGTTTTTTTTCCTAACCCTTATTTTCTTCTTCAAACCAGGAATTTAGAACCCCCTCCTTGATCTTGTAGGATCTGGAATTTAACATCTGCCACCTATAATGAGCTCTGGACCAGAACCCAGATGACCACCATCAAGGCAGCCTCCTTCACATTGCCCCAGCCACTGCTAGTTACAGGCAGAGTAAAGTTAAAGCCCTTACCAAGGCTTAAGAGGTCTTCTGTGATGTAGCCTGGCCTTTGGCCTCACTGGGCATGATTGTTTCCCATAATCATCCTACTATTCCCTATCCCCACCCAGCCTCCAGCACTGGGCCCTGTCACATTGCAAGACTCATGTGTCCTCATCTCCCCTAGTTATGGTAGCCAGGTAGGTAGCTGTATTTTTTTTTTTGCACATGACCTCTTTTTTTTTTTTTGCACGAATTAAATCACAAGTGGCCTCTCTGACTGAACTTCTTCTGATAGCCTTTGTGCAGAATAAGGGTACTCTTCTTGGTCTCCAGGGTTTCCACCTGAAGCCCTATCTCACTCCTCTTTGATTGGTTATTTTCCTTCTTCCTGCAACAGACAGAATCCGGATCTTACTAAATCTGTATTTTATCCCTTAAGTGTCTGGCACAGTGCCCAGCACATAAAGGTCACTGATAAATGTTTTTTCAATGAGTGAATGATTTAATACGTAAACATAATAAGGTAGAATATTATTGATATAAAATTAATTCTGGAATCTCCAAATAGCACCATCAAGCCCAGGGTGAGATAAAGCCTGGGAGAATACTTTGGAGGATAAATTCTAGCCTGACCCTTTAGAAATGGGGTGAGGGAGTGCTGCAATGATTTTTTTTTTCTTCTTAGTTTTTACATTTCATTTCAGTAAGTGCATTCCATTTCACTCACAGTGTAGCTGTATGTCTCGTAGAGCACGTCGACATAGAGTGAGTGTGCCTGGGAGATTATGCAGGGAATTGAAGATAAACATCAATTTACTTGGGCCTGAAAATAAAAGTTTCATGGTAAGAAAAATCAGTAATGTGAGTCTTCCCTTGAATTCAGAGGTAGATGAATGGGTGAGTCTAAACGGTGATACTTTAAAAACATTCAACAGAATCTGGGAAAGCAGAAGAATAATTTTGACCAGTACTTGGTCGAGCTGGGAGCAGAGAGAGGAAGCCTGAACATGGAAATACAGTTTGGAAAACTCTTTTTTCTTTCTTCCTTCCATGTAATTTTTCTCACTTTCCCCACAAGCTTGGCCTAAAGTGTGCATGATTCAGGAAACTCATATTCTAAGTCTTATCGCTTCAGCCTCTTATGTTAGTGATTATATGTCTTAGTCCCCACAGTCTGCAATTGTAAAAGTCAAAAAGTCTTGGAGGATGTGAGTTGAGGATATAATGGCAAGCTGCCTGAGGTTGCAATCCTCCATCATAGAAAAGCAAGCCCTACAAAATATGTTTGCCTTAAGGATAAGTCAATATCGTAAGGACAAATCTGTTTTCTGTTTCCTGGTTTAGTGGAAATAAACCATGACCTGCGGGTCAAAGAGGCACTAGGCTCATGTCCTGGCTCTGTCACTTGCTCACAGAGGAACACATCAGCTGTGACTCAGTGGGATCAACCACTAAGTTCCCGTTTCCCTGTAACCGCTTGTCTGCTAGTTCAGATGCAGAATTACTATTGTGTGGCATGTTAATAGTTTATTAAATGCTTTATTATTTTAATGTTATGACATTACCCTCCTTGACCTTTTACTTGGAAGCTAATTGTAAATTTCTCTCAATTAATTTGTAGATTTTCTATAAACTTCTACATTCTTTTATGCCATTTCATGAGGTTAAATTATAGATTTGCTTTTCCACACATTTCTCTCCTTGGGTTTCAGGGCATTAAAGGATGGTATTAAGTTGTGCTTGCAGGTAACCATCATTGGCCTTCAAATCTGTATTGAGCCCTTCCATAAGAAAGCCATAGTCATGATGTGTGTGTGTGTGCATGTGTGTGTGTGTACACACATATATGTGCGTGTATATGTATGTATGGTCATAAAGTATGAGTGCGTATGTGTTTATATAGAGAGATCTCATAAATAGGTCTTTAGTTGATGTCAGCCCTTAAGCAGTAATTGTGTATCTATTACCTTTGGCTTCTCTGGAAGATCATGAGAATTTGGAAACAGTTAAATTTTAAAAGCTGTCATTTTTGGCACTGACATGTGCTTCGACAGGGATCTTCTGTTGCAAAAAGCAGGCATGCACTCAGAGAAGTTTATAAAAATAGAACGTTGGTTGTAAGAAGAGGGGCTCACTTGGACAGTACAGTCAGGTCTCATGGGAGTACCAACTCTTGAGGCTGACTTGATCACCTATCACAGGCTTTCCCTGTTCCTGGGACTACCTGGCCTCTTGCCTCAATGCAAACTGGCTGCTTCTGCCAAGCTCATTGTTTCTCCCATGGTTTCTGTGTCCTTGTCCCCATGTCTTTGGCTTACATGTCAGGTAGTTTCAACCAACCCTGACACTACCTCTGGTCCCAACTCCACATATATTGTGGAACAGAAGTTGTATTTTTTTGGTTTCACAGAACAAAATATTTTAAAAAAATAATAGAGTTTTCTTAGGTTGGCCCAGGTCCCATCTGCTGTAGACAGGGGAAAATTCAAGGTCAGGATGATGGCATATATTCCATGATGGATTCAGACCTTATTGTATCTCTAGTATGGAAAATAATAATGCATGGTCCAACCTTTTAAAACAAATTGGAAATTTAAAAATGGACTTTTACAATTGCTCTGAATCTTTGATCCATAAATTCTACTGTCTGGACTGCAGAGCAAGAGCATTAGATTGAATTCAGAAACAAACCGTCACAAAAATGTTCAATGAAGCATGGAAAAAAGTGCAAAGAAAAGAAAATTCCAAGTTCTCAGCAATAAAGACCAAATGAATGACTGAATAAATCTGCTTCTAATGTACTTTTTAATATATATAATTTAATTTTTTTAATACATAATAGATATACATGTCTTCAGAGTATATCTGCTTATTTAATATATTCCTATAAGTTATAAAGACCAAGTCGATGTAATTGGGATATCCAGCACCTTAAATATCTTTTCCTTATGCTAGAAACATTCCAATAATTCTCTTCTAGCTATTTTGAAATATACTATAGATTATTATAAACATACAATAGATTATTATATGATGTATTATATAACCATCAAATGTTTAAGTATGATGACAATTCCTTAATTTAGTTAAACAAGTTAAAAATTGTATATACAATAAAATGTAATATTCTTAACAATAATAATAAATTATAAAACTTAATACTTCAAAATATTTGCACCTGATAATTTGGGTTATGAATCAATATTTTTTTCCTTTTTTCTCCTGAATTTTCCATGTGCTAGAAATGTTGTATTATACTTATACTTTAAATTTATACTTATAAATTATTTGATACTAAAAGTAGACCTTAAGTCCTGTAATCCTGGCTTTTAAAAAAAATTTTGACTCCTGCATTGGGATTAGAAATGCAAACTCAGATATATGAAAATGGAAGGTGGCAAGCAGAATTATGCTGATATGAGGTTCAAGAAGTAAATTGATGTACTCCAATTTGTGACAAAATACTCTAAACAGGGCTTTCATTTTGCCAAATATCAATTAACCTTAGGCCCCTTTTAGATATGTTAACACTTTTTTTGTCAGCCTGAGATAAATGATGATTACTGTCTGCATGTTTCCAAACCCTCATTAAGTCTTCTATTGAAGTCCTCACAAATGACAGCATTTGAGAGATGCATTCTGCTACACAATTAAAATAAACCTTAGAAAATGTCATTGATCACTTTTTTCTTCTTGAGAAGAAAAAACTTAATTATAGCTATTGGAGATCTACCAATATAGTCTAAAATAGCAACTAATCTGACAGAACTTTAAGCTGGTCTCTGAAAAAGTCTGGCAGTTATTTTGCATTGCAATAATGCTCCCCTCCTCTTCTGTCCTGTAAACATTCCCCTCAAAAGTAAGCCTTCTTTATGAATGAATGTATGCCTCTACTTGAGTTCATTACCTGAACATCCCATTTGCAAACTGATGATCAATAAAATAAATTTTAATATCATTAGGAAGAAAGAAATGCCAACATAGCCTTGTTACATGCCAAGTCATATTTTTGTCTGTTCCTGAGGTATACATATCATCTATACAACCGTAATTTTCAAAATTTCATTTTAATTTATCCATGTATTCCTGGATATATTCATTTACAGATTTATTCATTTACTCAACAGGTATTTGTAGAAAGGCCTAAAAGAGTTATGGAGAACACCTCAAAAACTATTAGAATATTAGGAGATCTCTAAAGAGCACCCGGCAGACTGTTCCTAGTTCTCTAGGACCTGGGGGTAGAGTAGTTAACAAGGTAAAGCTCATGCCCTCATGGAACTCACATTTCAGTGAGAGACATACAATAAAGAAGCATACACACATAATGCATATGATATACATGTCATAAATATTAATAAACATGATACATACATACATGGGTATTATATATATATCATAATATATACAGACATAATTGACATAATATGTATATATGTGAATGCGTGTGTATATATGTGTGTGTGTGTGCATATATACACACACACATATAAAATAATATATAAGTGTGAATGTTCTCCTATTGGGCCACACACCATGGAGATTGTGTGTTCCTTGACTGACTTTGGGAGTCACATGCATTTGAGTTTAAACGCTGGTTCTGTTAGATACCAGCTTCCTGAACTCAAGCAGATGACAGGCTCTCTGAACCTCAGTTTCTTCATATATAAAAGGTAAATATCTGGCATTGGACCATGGTAAGCATCAAAAAATATTGATTATCATTGTGCTATTAGTATGGGAGGTAAATAATTGTATATGTATATATAGTATACACATATATACATACATATTTGGCTCTATATGTATACACACAAATACACAAAAACACATATTATGCCATAAAGCAAATGAAATAGACTAAAGAGATAGAGAGCACTCTGACTGATATTTTAACAAGACTGACTTCTTTGAGAAACCGATATTTGAGCAGATACCTAAGTAAAATAAGAATAGTAAGGTATGCAAATAACTAAGTAAGGGAGTTCCAAGTAAGAAGAATAGAAAAGTGCAAATAGGTTGGGGCAGAAGAGGGTTAGGAACTGGGAAGAGTGTGCTGTTTACACATACTGTTTGCTCTGCTTTATTATCAGCATGGCAGAGCTCACATTTCATCTTTTGCCTGGGTAGAAATGTTTGTGAGAGGCCAGAAAAATCTCAAGAAAGAATTGCCAAGAAACATAAAACTGATCCCAGACCAGGGCTCTTTAAAAAAAAGAGGTGTGTGGAGAAAAATAACGAGTATTGGCTTCCCTCTTCTGGTCCAGCACATAAGGAGCTTAGAAGTGGCCTCTTGATTCTAAGAAATAAAAAAGTTATACAAACTGAAAAACCCACAACTCTTTTCAGATCCATTGGAGAAATGAGATCACAGGTGAACCACTGCTCTGAAAATGGGAGAGACTCACAGGCAAATATTTCATGACTTACTGGAGTGAAGTGGCAACTCTCAAGCTGAAACCTTCTTAGAATCAAGTACCAGGGAAAGAAAGCCTGAACTTTAACCAATGAATTACTAGAGGCTCAGTGTGGACAAGCCTGAGAAGTAAAAACTCAAGAAGGATCCAGTTATTGGGAGGCCCCCATACTCTTGGGAGTTTTACCTCCAGGAGCTGTTCCAGGTTCTCAAAGTAAGTATCAGAGAAAATTCTCATACTTCTGGTAGAAGAAAGGGTAGGGGAACCATTATGAAATATACCTTGTCTTCTACTTGCGAAGGCCTGTAGGCCTGTTCTCCAGAGGAATTATTTTGCCAGAGCCTAACCTACTTAAATTTTATGATTCTAACTCACTGGGGGAAAGGAAAATATCCAACTCTAGCCTCATTACCTAAGGGGATGAAAAAAATTCGAAAACCAAAACAACTGAAAGGCATTTGTGACATTTATAGGTCAGGCCCACTAAAAGACAGAGACTTAAGTATAGGACTATAGAAAGTTCCCCTCCCACTGCATTGTATCATTACATCACTTAAGACTTCTTTACTAAATTCCTTTTATCCAGTGCATCATGTCTACCTTTTAATAAAAAAATTATAAGTCCTACTTATGATTTCCTTATAAAGGAAAAAAATTCACATAATTTGAAAGACAGAGCAAGCATTATTACCAGGTCCAGATATGACAGGAATGTCATAAATATCAAACTGTGAATTTAAAAGAACTATGACTAATATGCTAAATGCACTAATTAAAAAAGTAGAGAACATAAAAAAACAGATGGGTAATTCAAACAGACAGATGAAAATTCTAAGAGAAAATAAAAAGTGTTGGAGATCAAAACTACTGTAACAGAATTGAAGAATCCCTTTGTGTGGCTCATCAGTAATCTAGACATACCTGAAGGAAGAATCTTTGAGGTTGAGGAGATCAGAATAGAACTTTCTATAACTGAAAACAAAGAGAAAAAAATAATGGAAAAAAAGAAGACAATATCAAAGAACAGCGAGGCAACTACAAAAGGTATGGCATATGCATAATGAGATTACTAGAAGGAGAAGAAAGAAGGAAACAAAAGAAATATTTGAAGTGATAATGACTGAAAACTTTTCCCAGCTAATATCAGACACCAAACCACAGATCCAGGAAGCTCAGAGAACACCAAGGGGTATAAATACAAACAATCAAACAAACAAATGACATCTGGGCATATAATATTCTAATAGTAGAAAATTGAAGATAAGTAAAAAATCTTGAAAGAAGCTTGGGATGGGGAGTGAAAAAGAGAACTTACCTGTAGAGGAGCAAAGATAAAAATTACATATGACTCTCCCCAGAAACCATGCAAGCAAGAAGATTAAGGAGTGACATATTTAAAGTGTGGAGAGAAAAAAACAGAAAAACACCAGCCTAAAATATATTGTTGCTATTATGATTTTGAACAAACTGTTATTTGTTACATCATTTAAGAGTAAAAAAAAAACCTTTTAAAAACTTCATTTATTGTTCCATGCTCTTTCTCCGTGCATATCCAAGATTATGACCTATATCATTTTCCTTCTCTCTGAAGAACTTATTTTAACATTTCTTTCAAGGCAGATCTCTTGTCAGCAAATTCTGTAGATTCACATTCATAGATTCTGTACCCTGCAACATTATCCTTCAAAAGTGAATGAGAAATAAAAACTTTCTCCGACAAGCAAATATTGAGAGAATTTGCTGACAAGAGACCTGCCTTACAAGAAATGTTAAAATAAGTTCTTCAGAGGGAAGGAAAATGATACAGGTCTTAAACTTGCATGTGCACAAAGAAAGAAAGAGCATGGAAAAATAAATAAAGGAAGTTTTTAAAAAGATTTATTTTTTGACTCTGATGTAACAAATAAAAGTTTGTTCAAAATCATAATAGCAGCAATGTATTCAATTATATGTTATGTAATATATATTATAAATGCTTATGTGTAAGTGAAATAAATGACAGGAATAATACAAGGAATTGGAGAGAGAAATTTATAATATTTTGTTGTTATAGGATATTTACACTACCTATGAAGCAATATGGTGTTATTTGAAAGTGAAATTGAATTAGTTGTAAATGTGTATTTCAAACTCTGGGACAGCCACTAAAAAATAAATGTATAATTGATAAGCTAAGACAATGAAATAAAATGGAATTATATAAAGTGTTGAATTAAACCACAGCAGGCCAAACAATACAGAAGACAAAAATAGGAATGTAGAATAAGGGCAACAAATAGAAAACAGTAACAAATGTAGTAGATATTAATCTACTTTTATTAATAATCACTTTAAACATCAATGCTTAAAGTACCCCCAATTAAAAGATACAGATTGCTAGCAGAGTGGATTAAAAATAAGACCCACCTATAGGTTATCTACAAGAAACTCACATGTGATTAGTGTGTGCTAGTATGGTATATTTTTGCATTCCCCTTTCATATTACCTTTTTGCATTTCCATCATCAATATAGAGACACATAGATTAAAAGCAAAGGGATGGATGAAAAACATACCAAGCTAACAGTAATCATAAGAAAGTGTGAATAGCCATATTATTTTCAGACAGAGCAGACGTCAGAGCAAGGAAACTTGTCAGGGGTAAAGAGGGTCAGTGCATAATGATAAAGGGGTCAATTTCCCAGGAACACATAGCAATCCTTAATGTGTATGGCACATTATGTTAAAAGTCATGAAGCAAAACTAATAGTACTGCAAGGAGAAATAGATGAATTCACTGTTACAGTTGGAGACTTCCAAACCAGTCTATCACAAATAAACAGATCCAACAGTCAGAAAATCAGTAAGGAAACAGTTGAATCCTGAAGACAGAATCTCTAATCACTGGGATATAATGGACATTTAAAGGCTATTTCATCTGACAGCAGAATACAAATTTTCCTCAACCTCACATGGAACATTCTCCAAGATAGCCAGAAATCTAGACCATAAGATATATTTTAAAAATAAAAAGAATAGAATCATACAATGTCTTCCCTCAGACTACAATAGAATTAAAATAAAAATCATAACAGAAAGATAGAAAAATATCCAAATTATTAGAATTCAAACAACACATTTATAAATACATTGTTCAAAGAAGAAATCTGAAGGGGTATTTAAAAAGTGTTTGAACCAAATCAAATAAAAATACAACTTATCAAACTTTGTAGGATGCACAAAAAGTACACAGAGGGATATTTATAGCATTGAATGCATATATTAGAAAAGAAGAAAGTTCTAAAATCAATCATTTAAGTGTCTACCTCAGGAAACTAGAAAAAGAAGCGCAAATTAAATCCAAAGTAAGCAAGAGAACAGAAACAATAAAAATTTCTGCAGAAAGCAATGAAATTGAAAATAGGAAATAGAGAAAACCAAAAGCTTGATTTTTGAAAAGATCCATAAAATCAGTAAGCCCCTATCCAAGCTAAGAAAAAAGAAGACAAATTTCTAATATTAGAAATGAAAAAGGAGGTACCACTATAGATCCCATGGACATTAAAAGGATAATAAAAGAATACTATGAATAACTGACAAATCTGATAACCTAAATCACCAATTTCTTCTAAGAAACCACAAAACTGTCTTCCAAAGTAGCTGTGTCATTTTGCATTACTATCATCAATGAATGAGAGGTCCTGTTGTTTCACACCCTCCCAGTATTTTGTACTTCATGTGTTTTAGATTTTGTCCATTCTGCTGGTATATAGTTGTAACTTGATATTTTAATTTGCAATTTCCTAATGACATATGATATTGAACAACCATTCTTGTGCTTATTTGCCATATTTATATCTTTGGAGAGATGTCTGTTTATAGAGTTTGCCCAATTTTTAATCAGGCTGTTCAATGTCTTATTGTTGAGTTTTAGAAGTTCTTTGTATTATTTGGAAGTCTTATATCAGGTGTATATTTTTCAAATATTTTCTCCCAGTCTGTAACTTGTTTCTCATTCTGTTGACTTTGCTTTTCACTGAGCAGAAGTTTTAATTTTCCCAAAGTCCAGCATATCAACTATTTCTTTCATGAATCTCACTTTTTTGTGTTGTATCTAAAAAGTCATCACCATACCCAAGTCCATTTTAAATTTTCTTCTATTAATGTGTTACCTTTTAGGAGTTTATTAGTTTTGATTTTACAATTAAGTTGGTGATCCATTTTGAGGTATTTTCTGTGAAGCATGTAAAGTTAATATCTAAATTCATTTTTTGTACATGTGATGTCTAGTTGCTCAGTAATCATTTATGGAAAAAGCTATCTTTTATCCATGGAATTGCACCTGATGCTTTGTACCAGATAAGTTGTTCACATTTATGAGGGTCTTTCTCTGAGACCTCTATTCTGTTCCATTGATATATTTGCCAGCACTGAAATATTTGCACTTTATCAATTAAAGCAAATTGCCAGATACATGTCCAAGGTACAAAGGAACTGAGAAGATTGTTCAAGGAGGCTAAGTTTAGTCACAGAAATGAAATAAACAAACCAAATGAACAGAATTTTCATGTAGCATAAAATTTCCAATGCTCATGGGTCTGGACCATACTTGTTTTTCTGGTCTCCTTTACTTCTGGCTTCTAATGGGACAGACCACCTAGGTTTTCAGTGAGATCTCAAACTATTCACTCCCACTCTCCACAGCCTGTGTTATGGTTTATTTCAAATGGAGAAACTAATTGTAATTATTATGTTTTAAGAATCTGTGTTTCATTCATTTTTTATTCATGGAAGCCAGATTGCCTCACTGAAAGGCTGACATGTCAATGAATGAAGAAATGGGAGTGTTTCATAAAGCATTTCAGCTTTTGAGCTGCTCTTGAAAACATTGCAAAGCTTCTGTTGAAAGAGGCTTTAGTCCTAAATACCAGGTGGTCGATATCACCACAAAGAGATGTGATAAAAAAGAGGATTTAGTAAAAGGTTAAGAAGAAGCAAGGCTCTTTGGATTCCATGATAATAACATCCAGGATATTTCACATTATTGCTGAGGACTCACAAGTACTTTGTAGATTTTAACCTGTGTACAAGTCCTTATAGGTGGAAAGGACTTTTCAAGAGTACTTCTAACATCAGCATTCTGTGCTTCCATCTTTCAGTATTTATGTTATGGGGATTTCTGGCACTCACTATTTTCATAGTCAGTATTTCTGGTACACTGTATTTTCATTGTAGAAAATTCTTCTCAAAATTTAAATAATCAACTTTTCTCTTATTTGGTATTTCTAGTTCTGTAACTCATTTCTTGGTAATATTTTTTGTTCTTAAGGTCTCTGCATCTTAGTGAAGAGTCAGATCAAATGTTTCTGACTCTTGGTGTCCCCCGGGTCACTAACTTAGATATATCACTTTTGAGGGAATGCATCTTTCTCAGAACCCCTAGAAACCAAAACAAATGTGAGTCTCCCTAACATTTTTATATGTGGTATCACAAAAGTAGCAATAGATAAAATATAACCTCAAATATGTTGTCCATGTTTACATGTTATGGGTAAAATTCTCATTAAATCTTTGTCTTACCACTGTGGTGGAAGAAGAGGTCAAATGTCCTGGGCACCAGCCCCTGTCAGCTTCAAAGTGAAACCTCACTCTTTTAAGACAACATATACTCCTAAGTACCCTTTCCAAATACAACTCACCAAAGCTGAACGGTCTTCCAGTAGGGTTGCCAAGTTGAACTGTGTAATGAAATACGTTGAGCTTGTTATTGTTATGTTTATTTTCATATTTGTATGATACTAGCACAAATGTGGGGATTTCTGCTTACTATTTGATCTTGATTACAGATTAGTAGGCTGACTTGTGCTTCACTTATAAGAGCTTGAGACTTCTTCGAGCATCAGCATAGGCAGTTTCATATGAAGCCCAGACCACACAACCATGTGGTGGAATTCAGTCAGACTCCACATTTTCCATAGTCTAGTAACTGTGCAAATATGACAGAATGTGCCATATTTTCACTTATAAAAATGGATATTTGAAGACAATTGTATATTTATATGGCTTCCTTTGGTCTTTCTTGATTTTACATTACTCTTTTAAGGTAAGAATATTTAGCAATTCTATTTTTTGGGAAACTCCAGAGTCTTCTCTATTAAAAATTAAAAATGCTCATGTTCTTTCTCTATGAGACAAAGTCCTAGTCTAACTGTTTGACCTATTCCCACCTAACTGTGACAAGTGCGTGACTTGTAAAAAATTTCAAAGTCACAATTTCAAATGTATGTCACTTGAAAGAGATTTATCACTATTGACAAAATGGATACTTATTTCCAAAGCACTAACCTTCTAACTGTCAATCATGAATCATGCCATAGCAACTATTCAGCATGTTGCCTGGTCCCACACAGCACTTTCTTCTTTTGCCCTCATACGTGTCCTGGGTCCTACTGATTCAAAGAGCACTGCCAAGTCAAAGCAATCAGAAGGTTTTTTGTTTTTGTTTTTCTGAGGATGTGGGCATGGGAAATTAGAACTCCTCATCCTAAAGCCATAGACGTTTCACTTTCTGTGATTAATTATTTAACGTCTGCAAAACTCAGGGCTGACCCTCAATGTGGCCCCAGCTACTTTTTCAATGATCAGCAAACGCGTGTGTGTGTGCATGCTGGGGAAGGGCAAATGGTTTGATGTACTTTCTCAGCGACAGTTGAGAAAAGAGTCAGGGTTGAAGTAAGGTATTAGCAGTTTTTCATCCAGCTTAGAAGGTCTGAGGTGGACATTCACACTCATTGGCATGATGAAAAATGATGTCTTCTTTGGGAATTCATGCTGTTATCAAAATGTAGGGGTTCAGTCTAGCTCCAGCTGCTTGCTGCACAGAAAGCCAATCATTGAGACAAGGAATATTGCCAGAGAAGAAGGCTTTAATTGGATGCTGCAGCTGAAGAGACGGGAAATCAGTCTCAAATCCATCTCCCTGATCCACTAAAATTGGAAGCTTTATATAGCAGGGGACAAATGTAACTATGTGTGGGAAAACAGGAGTTAGGGAGGGGTAAGAAAGAGAAACTGGTCAACAGGAAGCAGGTGGTCGCTTAGGCATTCACAATAAGTGAGGGGTCTGGCATCTCATTATCTAGATGTGTTGATCACATAAGGTTCAGTTCCTTGATACTATCTGGGAGACCTGATTTGATTTCCTGAGAAAGGAACTCAGATAAGACAAATGTAATTTTCTTGAGTTTTAAGACTGACAGGGTCACTTTCTATGCTTATTCAAAAGAAACCATAAACATTAGTTATATGGGACAATCAGGAAGGTTTTAATGCCGTGTCATGTTATCACCTTATAGGAAAAATACTTTGCTGTTCTTTATCTTTTACTGAATTATCTTTCGATTTTCACTCTAGATTACAGCTTTAGGGGATGTGCTATCCTATTAATTTAGAATAAAAATGATAAATTGTATGCATTGTTTAGATAAGTAGGGATGAGTTAATTTTTAAAAGTATTGGTAAATCACTGCAGCAATTGAGATGAATTGTCAATTTTTTTCCTAATATGATTTGAATTCCAAAGTTGTTTTTAAAAGAAAACAATTATTATGATATATAAAAAATAGCATCCTAATTATGAGAGTGACTTTATTTGTTCCTATAGTTGTTACATCTACTTTGAAAGTTCAAATGTGTATGGAGAGTGCTGAGATGTCTAGACAGGGCAAGGCTTTGACATTTTAACTGTTGATACTCTGAGTGCTTTGAATTTAATGAATCACAAAATGCATTGTCTTTTGTTGAAGTAATTCAAATCTGTATGATGTAAATATGGGGCTAGAAATTTCTTCCAATTACTTTTAAGAAAAAGCCATTGCCTTAAGATGATATAGGATGTAGACTTTTCTTGGAAAAATGGCAATTCCAGATGAGTGAGTTTTTAAAAAAGCAATAAAGAAGCTATTCTTTCAAATTTGTTAAATTGATTCAGTGTTCTCTTTCAAATCTCATATAAAGTGGCCAAATGCAAATAGTTTTTAGTAATATGGGTAATCTCTTGAGGGCTGAAAGCAATAGATTGATTGTTATATTTCTCAGATGTAAAAACTTTGTGTGAGTTTTAGCATATATTTTTTCTTTGCTTGGACAAAATATGTTATCTGAATATATAATTTTAATATCACAAAGCCCATAAACCCTATTGTAAAGTATAACATGTAATTTATGTTGTAATTGAGAAACGTTAATTACTAAGTATCCTCGTTATTTTGATAAAACTTTATGAGGTACTTCAAGTTGTTTTATGTTGTTGTTGAAAGCTTCTTGTCACAAGGAACTTTGCCAGAACTTTCTCCTCCTACATGATATCAACTTTCGTATTCTTTGGTATGTTGACTCTCTTTTGTGGTATTTTGCTGGAAAAAGACTTACTTTTTGATTTTGTGCTCCTTAAGAAAGTCATTTCTCTCACCATTTAAAAAATATAGCTGCCAGCAATCTCCCCCACACAACCTCCTCCATTATTCCCTCAATGAGAGGAGATATTGTCATACCTGTTGGCTAATGTTTCATATCCACTTACCTAGACATTATTACTGCATAAGTAAGATCATTTTAGTAGTAGTTATTTTTAATTTATGCTATAGTTTTTCTCTAGAATTCTATTCATCTAGGTTATAATCCTCATGATTTGTATAAAGTAAAATATATCAGATACTCATTTAGTAAGTCAACTTCACAGAACTCTTCTCAGTATTACTGGTGATTCTATTTCTAGGAGCCAGAGTCTCCATAACTCTGCTTTTAAAACTCTGTATGCTGATGCTTTGGTATTATTTTTGGAAAAGAGAATTTCCATTCTAATGCCCCACATTCCTAAGCATGTTTGCATTCAATGAAAGTAATCAAACTTTAGTAGAGAGGCAGGTTAAATATTCACTGTTCATCTCCTCAGCTTGTCCCATTTCTATCCTCTGGCCATATCCAAATCATTTTTTAAATTGAGAAAACTCATTTTAAAAAATGAGATAAATCTCTATACTTCAGCAATAATGTGTTTTCACATGCATTCAGTCATTTGATGAACTTGTATTGTGACCTGCTATGTGTCAGGCTCTTGTGCTGTGCTTTTAGGAGGAGGCTGTGTAGAATAAGTTCTCATCTTTCTTCTCAAGAAAGGTAAAGAAAGATAAATATTAAATAAAGAAAACTTGGATATAAAACATAAAAGCAATACAGAAGATTAACAAAACCCAACATTTTTTCTTTGAAAAGATTAACAAAGTAGACCTCAGGCAAGACTGAACAAGAAAAATTGGAAAATACAAATAAATACTGAATGAAAGGGGGTGATAAGTTTAGACATATTAGAGATTTAAACATATTAAAACAACAATTATAGACGAGGAAGTGAGATAGTATGCATATGACAAGCTGTTCAAACTCATTAGTAATATGAAAAATGCAAATTGAAACAATAATGAGATAGCGCTTTAAACCTTGTAGGTTGGCAAAGTTAAAAAGTCAGATGATGCCAAGTGTTAGCAGGGATTAAGAATTCTGAGAGTAAGAACCTGATGCACTGTGAGTGGAAGTAGGACGAGGCCTACCAATCAAGAGTGTTAACTGACAGTTCCTGATCAAGTTAAGTATATACATGCTTCATGATCCAGCATTTAAACTCCTGGTTTTATGTGCTGTCCAATGGTTAATCTTATGTGTTGACTTGACTGGGCCATGGGGTGCCAAACATTGGTCAAACATTTGGTCAAACATTGGTGAGGGTGGTTCTGTGAGGGCATTTTTAGATGAGGTTAACATTTAAATTGTTACCCATAGTATGGGTGGGCCTCATCCAATTAGTTGTGGGTCTAAGTAGAACAGAAAGGCCACCTCTCACCCTAGCAAGGCAGAATCCTTCTTGTCTGACAGCCTTCAACCTGACATTGGTTTATTCCTGACTTTGGACTGGAACTGAAACATCAGCTCTTCCTGTGTCCTGAGCCTACCAGCCCTCACACCAAAACTACACCATTGGCTCCTCCAATTCTCAGCTCTGCTAGGTCTCCAGCTTGCTGACTCACCCTGAAGATCTTGGGACTTACCAGCTTCCATAATCATGTGAGCCAATTGCTTATAATAAATTTATCTTTTTCCATCTCTCTTTCTCTCTCTCTCTCTTTATACATCCATACATACATACACACACACACACACACACACACACACACACACCCCTTATTGGCTCTATTTTTTGGAGAACTTTGACTAATACGCATGCAAAATGGCAATGCCATTATTTAACAGTCCATAAGTGGACATAGATAAAAGTTTTTATTTGTGGAGGTGGAGACTTAGTAGGTCAAATATGGTACAATTCATACCATAAAGGTCTGTGCCACAACTGGAAAGAATAAACCAAATGTAATAAAAACAAATGGAAGGTAAGCACTGAAGGACAAAACAAAAAAACAAAAAAACAAAAAAAAAACCCACAACAGAATGAAATATGTTGCACAATGTTAGTATAAACTGAAAATGCATACATGTAAAACAACAGTATACATTTTTGCAAGACAAATGCTTACTTTGCAAGGACACAGTTTTTCATACAAATAAGGTATATAATTAAAATACACACACACACACACACACACACACACACATGCACATACACACACACACAATTTGCCTAATGTAGGAGAAGGAATTGGGAACAGACTGTGGAAATAAGAAGAAATGAATAAATAATTAAATTAATTAAAAAAGAGGACAGCTTTGCATAGGCCAGCATAAATAATACCAAAAACTGAGAAGTACACTTAACTCAATTCTCTTCACCTTAAAGGTGACAAAGTCTAATATTATTTAATATCTAATTAGATAACTTTAGATAAGACACAAAAAAGTCACTCTTTTTAGTATTAGAGATTCACAGATTCTTAGAGTTAGAAAGGCCTTCCAGGACAGGAGTCCAATGTGTCATGTTGTACTGAATCACACATGATTCAAACTGCTCTAGAAAGTGACTGTGCAGCCGTGATAGAGCCCTTTTGTGGTGAAGAGCTCAGAGCCATGTGCAGCAGACACAAATTTATTGTTGGACAACTGTGGCTGCTAGAAAGGTCTTCAAAGTGTGACTGAAAATCTGCCTCCCTAGGGTTCCTCTCTGATTCTAGGCCTTGGACCTCATAACTGCTTGGTTTCCTTTTTCTTAACGTCTTTTATTTCAATTTATTCTCAACATATCATCGCAGGTTTGAAAACTTTTCTCTGTATTTAAATCTTCATTGTCATGGTGCTAATAATTGTCTTAGAAACACTTGAATAAAGGATCTATGTTTAATCTCACAGCCTCACTATATCATATGAAACCGTATTTTTGTAGCTTGCAAAAAGTCCTGTGAGGTATAGGATTATCCTTAATCCCTTCCTAATTGGACAGAAATTGTAATTAAGAACCTCATATATGAACATAATTCAAAATCAGCAATGAAATAACTGTTAAACAAAAGCCCAATTTTAAACTTACAAGCATGATTTACTAAGTAGTTTTGATTTTGAATCATGATGGTATCTAGTGGATAGAAACAAAGATGAATGTATACTTATACCCCATTAACAGAATATGAGATATAGTCAGTCACAGGGATTGTTCCATTCCCTATCATTGGTATCCATTCACTTAAAAGTAAGAATGACACAACCTTGCTTTTAGAATGAGTCAATTTAAATTTTTAAAAAATATGCAATACTTAAAGAGCCAAATACCAAATAGTTCAAATACCATTAAAACATGGTTATGCAATGGTAGGCTGCGTGTTTTAAACCAACTTTCTCACTAACAACAACTAAAAATGCTGCAAAAATACAGAAAACTTTGTTTTAATCACATCAAAGAGCTAACAAGATACTGAAGATTACTAGAACAAGTCATGGGTAAAAATAGGAGCACAAAATGTAAAACGGGATGCTCTGCCTACTGACATCTTCCCAGGAATCCGGAGGGAGGCAGTTGGGAGGGAGAGTTATGCAAGCACAAAGGATGAAGGGATGCAATGTAATGTTGAGCCAGGGATGAGACAAGGATTAAAGAGACCTTCTTCCATCACACACAAACACACACACACACACACACACACACACACACACACACACACACAAAGTGAGATCTTGTCCTCTGTCTCTGAATCCTTGAGAAGCAGCTGAGAGGTGAGCTGAGTATTTGGCTGACACTTGGGGTTGACAGGATTGGAGCTCAGATTCACTAAAGGCAGAGGCCAAGAGTAATATGACATTCTCCAGAGGTTCTTAATTTTTTTCCTCATGGACTCCTGTGACAACCTCGTGAAGCATATTGATCATTTCTAAGATTAATTTTTGTAATATGCATGCAATGAAATATATAGTATAATATTACAAAGAATCCAGTTATGCTTAAAAACAGCTGTCATAATGTGGTTTATAATAAATTTATTCTTAAATATATATAATTCTTTGATTTTTGACAAATACATCCAGTCCAGTAACCTCCTCCACAAACAAATTTAAAACAGTTTTATCACCTCAAACCATCATTCTCAGCAAACTATCCCAAGGACAAAAAACCAAATACCGCATGTTCTCACTCATAGGAGGGAATTGGACAATGAGAACACTTGGACACAGGAAGGGGAACATCACACGCCTGTTGTGGGGTGGGGGGACGGGGGAGGGATAGCATTAGGAGATATACCTAATGTAAATGACAAGTTAATGTGTACAGCACACCAACATGGCACACGTATACAAATGTAACAAACCTGCACGTTGTGCACGTGTAGCCTAGAACTTAAAGTATATAAAAAAAAATTCCCATGCCTCTTTGAGGTCCACCCCTCTTCCAATCTCCACTGATTTATTTTCTCCTCCTATAATTTTGCCTTTTCTATAATGTCATCTTTTGAGTCAGTCTTCTTTCACTCAGCATAAAGCATTTGAGATCCATCTACATTGTTGTGTATACCTAAGGTTCATTCCTTTTGATTTCTGTGTAGCATTCCAGCGTATTGACATACCATAGTTTATCTATTCACCCTTTGAAGGTCATTTTGGTTACTTTAAGGTATTCTGTGATTAGAAATAATGATGCTACAAACATTCAAGTACAAATTATTTTGTGCTAATGTAAGTTTTAATTTCTCTAGGATAAATGAGGATTACTAGGTCTATGTGTTTTACGAAAAACCCCAAGTTTTGGCACATTCTTGAAATGCAAAACTATTGCTTTTAAATCTATAACCAATGCTGTCTTAAAAAGTTAAGCTATTTTATTCCTTGGAGGGTTTCTTTGTGTTTCAATCAATGAGAGGAATGGTTTGTAAATTAGTGAAGTCACTGTTTGCTTATAATAGCTCTATTTATAAAATTTTAATTAACACTTTAAAACTGTTTCTTGACCTTCAATATGAAGAAAAACATTTCCCTTGTTTACCTGTTCATTCAACTTATAAACATTTCCTGCTACTTGAACAGTGTGATAACCTTGCTGCAGATGAAGTCTAACTGTGCTCTTGTGGTCATGATGCCATGATCAAAATTGGTCCACAGTCTTATCCAGGCAAGGGGGCTGACCACTGTGCCTTGAAGGTATTTCTATGGAGCAATGGCAAGGGTGGAGGAAGCCTAGTGTAGGGGGAAGACTCTAGACTCCAATTAGAGAAGCGGTATGAGTCCTATCTCTGTCCCAACTAGCCACGTGAGCTGACCAACCACTTTGTCTTCCTGGGCATCAGCTTCAGAGCTCACACAAAGTCGAGGTGCCTGGGGTACTCAGAGAACAGAACTCCAGGAGGTACATATTCAATCTCCAGGCTGGCCCTGCACATACATGGTCCTAGCAGCAAGTGCCCCATCAAATATTGTGCCCTACATGGCTCGCTTGCCCAATCCCAGTTAGGCTGTGCTTAGTTTGCTCATCTGTACAACAGGGAGGTAGGTTCTATAACCTATGTCCTAACCTAAAGTTTAGGACAATAAAGAACTGGTCAAAGTAAGACATAATTATTCTTGGTTTGGTCAATAGCCAAGTTCATTAATACAGACCAAAAGTATCCTCTTTTACTGGAAGAAGAGGGTGGATTTTCTTGGCTCTCCACTTCAGAAAGGCTGTGTGAATGCTGTTCAATCACTCTGTGATTGAATTATCTCCAAAGGCCTCATCTCACTGCTTTAGTACTTTTCTTTGATATTTAGCCCAGGCCATGCCTTTTCTTGCCCCGTAATGATATATTCTATATGTATATGTATACATATAGACTATATGTACAGGCTAAGAATTTTCAAAATATGTGTGTGTGTGTGTGTGCGTCCTTGTGGGGAAGAGAGTGTTAAGAGGTACAATACCTATGCCCATAGGAGTGATATTTATCTTATTTTAAAGTTCAAATGACATGAAAGGAGTGTTTCAACATATTTTTAAAAACTTAAATTGTGATATGAGAGTATATTTGCTTTTTTCTTTGGCCATTTAATAACAGGATCGAGCCTTTAAACTATGAAAATGTTGAAGTAATGATGAGCTTAAAAGATAATTTGAGAAATGTGCGATGACTGTAAGGTGTATTTTCTGGAGAGATTCTAGAAGTTGAATTTCTGGGTCCAGGGGTAAATGTGCATATGTAATTTTCCTAGGTATTGCCAAATTCCTGTCCAAAGAGATTTCATCCTTTGCATTCCCATCAGCAATGTATGAGAATGCCTGCTTCTTCAGAGCTTCATTATATACTGTTATGGTCAACCAGAGTTCTTGCCTTTTTGATGGGTAAAAAATAGTATCTCAATATAATTTTTATTTACATTTCTCTTAGTGTATAAACAAGTTTGAACATCTTTTCATATGATTACAAGTTATTTGCATTTCTTTTTCTGTTGACTTTTTTTTTTATTTCTTTAGCCTCCATTTCTAGAAAAATTGTTGGCTTTTATCTTTTCTACTTTTGAAAGCTCTCTTTATGTTAGGAAAATCCATAATTTGTTTGTCTTATTAGTGCTACTCTCTTTTTCTCTCTAATATGTAATGTGCCCTTTTAATTTTCATATGACATTTTTCTGTCACACAAACTATTTTCTAAATGTAATAAAATTTATCTTTATTCCTTCTTTGCTGCTTCTGGATTTTGAGTAATAAACTATAAAAATTTCCCAACTCACAGATTATGAAGGTTTCATCCATGTTTTTTTCTGGTAATTGTATGATTTTATATAAATTTGAGGATTCATTTTAAAACCTGATGTATATTATAGGGAATGACTCAATTGTATCTTCTTCCAGCTGTACCAAAACTGCTAACTTAAATACCCACCTCTTCCCTGTTGATTTGTGGTCTTTTCTGTATTGTATGCTAAATTCCCACATGCAATTAGGTCTACTTATATATTTTTTATTATATTTCATTTGTCCATGTGTCATTGCTTCACTGTTTTAATCACAGAAGTTTTAGGGCATATTTAAATGTCTGATTAGGCTAGAATTCCCTCATTGCTCCTTTTGAAAGAGAAGAATAAAACGGGACAATTCAGTCTACTTTATTTTAATATTTACCATAAAACTACCAAAATCAAGACAATGAAGTATTGGCAAAGGGAGACACATAGATTAATAGAACAGAATAGAGATAAAAAAATAGCTCTACACAAGTATGTCTATCTGATTGACAAAGGAACACTGACAATTTATGGAGGAAAGATATTCTTTGAACAAATGGTACTGGCACAATTAGACATCTCTAGGCAAAAATAACAACAACAACAAAACAACCTCAACCTAAACTCACACCATATTCACAAATAAAATCAAAATGGATCACAGATTTAAGTATAAAATGTACAATCAAAAATCATTTAGAAGAAATATTAGAAGAAACAGTAGAAAAATCTTCAGGATACATGGCAAAGCAAAGGTGTATTTAACATGACACCAAAAGCATGATCATGAGAAAAAATATCTACAAAATATGCCTCATCAGAATTAAAGGTTTTGCTTTCCAAAAGACCCTGTAAATAGGATGAAAATATAAGCTACTGACTGAGACAAAGTATTTGCAAACTGCATATCTAATGAAGAATTCATATTTAAAGTATATAAAGGACTCATAAAACTGAACAAAAAAATGAAAAATCCAACTGGAAAATAAGCACAAGACACGACCAGATATGCCACTGAAGAGGATATATGGATGGCAAATAAGCACATAAAAAGATGTTCACTTTGTTAGCCATTAAGGAAATGCAAATTAAAATCATGATGAAATATCCCAAATAGCTATTAAAAAAAAACCCGGGAAAAATAGGGACAATAACAAATGCTCATGAGGACATGCAGAAACTGGATCTATTATATATTGCTGATGGGGATGTTAAAAGGTATGGCCACTCTGGGAAATAGTTTGGCACTTGCTGTGTTGGCAGATAAAAATTCCCAAAGATGTTGACACCCTGATGCCTGAACTTGTGACTATTATTTTAGACTGCAAAAGAGACTTTATAGATGTGATTAACGTCAAGGACCTTGAAGATTAAACTGGGTCATCTGAGTAGGCACAATCTAAGCAATTGAGTCCTGAAAAGCAAAGAATTTTTCCTGGTTATACTCAGAAAAAGAGACCAATGACAAAAGAAGAGTTGGAGAAACGTGATGTTAATGTCTTAGAAGATGGAGGAATGAAGCCACAGTCAAGGAATGTAGCTTCTCTGTAAACTGGAAAAAAGGAAATAAGTGGATTATCCCCTAGAGCCTCCAGAAAGCAGCACAGCTCTGCCAACACCTTGATGTTAGCCCATTGGGACCATTTTAGACCGCTGACCACTGGAACTATAAGAACTATAAGGCAATAAATTTGTGATGTTTAAGTCATTAAGGTTGTTATGGCAGCAATAGAAAAATAATAGATTTTTTAAAAACTAAAGATAAACTTAAACTAGGTTTTAGCAATCACACTTCTGGACATTTAGCTTGGTGAAAAGAAACTATTCTTTTCTTTATGTTAGGAAAATCCAGAATTTGTCTTATTAGTGTCACTCTTTTTTTTCCTCTAGTGTGTAATGTGCCCTTTTAATTTTATTGTGGCATTTTTCTGTCATGTAAAATATGTTCACACAGAAACCTGTACAGGAATGTTCATAGCAGCTTTGATTGTAATAGCCAAATATTACTAACCACCTAAATGCTCTT